>NC_000010.11:41307629-41497440 GCF_000001405.40 Homo sapiens | reverse complement strand
TCTGTCTAGCAGTAAATGAGAAGTCCCGCTTCCTACGAAGGCCTCAAAGGTATCTAACTAATCACTTGCAGACTTTACAGACAGAGTCTTTCCAAACTGCTCTATGAAGAGAAAGGTGAAACTCTGTGAACTGAACGCACAGATAACAAAGCAGTTTCTGAGAATGATTCTGTGTAGTTTTTACACGAAGATATTTCCATTTCAAAGATTAGCCTCAAATCGCTTGAAATCTCCACTTGCAAATTCCACAGAAAGAGTGTTTCAAAACTGCTCTGAATAAAGGAAGGTTCAACTCTGTGAGTTGAATACACACAAAACAAAGGATTTAATGAGAATTCTTCTGTCTAGCAGTAAATGAAAAAATCCCGCTTCCAACGAAGTCCTCAAAGGTGTCCAAGTAATCACTTGCAGACTTCACAGACAGAGTCTTTCCAAACTGCTCTATGAAAAGAAAGGTGGAACTCTGTGAGCTGAACGCACACATAACAAAGCAGTTTCTGAGAATGATTCTGTGTAGTTTTTACACCGAAGATATTTCCATTTCAAAGATTAGCCTCAAATCGCTTGAAATCTCCACTTGCAAATTCCACAGAAAGAATTTTTCAAAACTGCTCTGTCTAAAGGAAGGTTCAACTCTGTGACTTGAATACACACAACACAAAGAAGTGACTGAGAATTCTTCTGTCTAGCGTTGTATGAAGAAATCCCGTTTCCAACGAAGGCCTCAAAGAGGTCCAAATATCCACTTGCAGACTTTACAAACAGAGTGTTTCCAAACTGCTCTATGAAAAGAAAGGTTAAACTCTGTGAGTTGAAGGCACACATCACAAACTAGTTTCTACGAATGACTTCTGTGTACTTTTAATACGAAGATGTTTCCATGTCTAAGATTGGCGTGAATTCGCTTGAAATCTCCACTTGCAAATTCCACAAAAAGAGTGTTTCAAAACTGCTCTGAATAAAGGAAGGTTCCACTCTGTGAGTTGAATACACACAACACAAAGGATTTACTGAGAATTCTTCTGTCTAGCAGTAAATGAAAAAATACCGCTTCCAACGAAGTCCTCAAAGGGGTCCAAGTAATCACTTGCAGACTTTACAGACAGAGTCTTTCCAAACTGCTCTATGAAAAGAAAGGTGGAACTCTGCGAGCTGAACGCACACATAACAAAGCAGTTTCTGAGAATGATTCTGTGTAGTTTTTACACGAAGCTATTTCCATTTCAAAGATTAGCCTCAAATCGCTTGAAATCTCCACTTGCAAATTCCACAGAAAGAGTTTTTCAAAACTGCTCTGTGTAAAGGATGGTTCAACTCTGTGACTTGAATACACACAACACAAAGAAGTGACTGAGAATTCTTCTGTCTAGCATTATATGAAGAAATCCCGTTTCCAACGAAGGCCTCAAAGAAGTCCAAATAAGCACCTGCAGACTTTACAAACAGAGTGTTTCCAAACTGCTCTATGAAAAGAAAGGTTAAACTCTGTGAGTTGAACGCACACATCACAAAGTAGTTGTTGAGAATGATTCTGTGTAGTTTTTATACGAAGATATTTCCTTTTCTGCCATAGGCCTAGAAGCGCTTGAAATCTGCACTTGCAAATTCCAAAAACAGAGTGTTTCAAATCTGCTCTCTCTAAAGGAAGGTTCAAATCTGTGTGTTGAATACAAACAACACAAAGAAGTTACTGAGAATTCTTCTGTCTAGCGTTGTATGAAGAAATCCCGTTTCCAACGAAGGCCTCAAAGAGGTCCAAATATCCACTTGCAGACTTTACAAATAGAGTGTTTCCAAACTGCTCTATGAAAAGAAAGGTTAAACTCTGTGAGTTGAAGGCACACATCACAAACTAGTTTCTACGAATGACTCTGTGTACTTTTAATATGAAGATATTTCCATGTCTAAGATTGGCGTCAAATCGCTTGAAATCTCCACTTGCAAATTCCACAAAAAGAGTGTTTCAAAACTGCTCTGAATAAAGGAAGGTTCCACTCTGTGAGTTGAATAAACGCAACACAAATGATTTACTGAGAATTCTTCTGTCTAGCAGTAAATGAAAAAATCCCGCTTCCAACGAAGTCCTCAAAGGGGTCCAAGTAATCATTTGCAGACTTTACAGACGGAGTCTTTCCAAACTGCTCTATGAAAAGAAAGGTGGAACTCTGTGAGCTGAACGCACACATAACAAAGCAGTTTCTGAGAATGATTCTGTGTAGTTTTTACACGAAGATATTTCCATTTCAAAGATTAGCCTCAAATCGCTTGAAATCTCCACTTGCAAACTCCACAGAAAGAATTTTTCAAAACTGCTCTGTCTAAAGGAAGGTTCAACTCTGTGACTTGAATACACACAACACAAAGAAGTGACTGAGAATTCTTCTGTCTAGCGTTGTATGAAGAAATCCCGTTTCCAACGAAGGCCTCAATGAACTCCAAAAAAGCACTTGCAGGCTTTACAAACAGAGTGTTTCCAAACTGCTCTATGAAAAGAAAGGTTAAACTCTGTGAGTTGAACGCACACATCACAAAGTAGTTGTTGAGAATGATTCTGTGTAGTTTTTATACGAAGATATTTCCTTTTCTGCCATAGGCCTAGAAGCGCTTGTAATCTGCACTTGCAAATTCCAAAAACAGAGTGTTTCAAATCTGCTCTCTCTAAAGGAAGGTTCAAATCTGTGAGTTGAATACAAACAACACAAAGAAGTTACTGAGAATTCTTCTGTCTAGCGTTGTATGAAGAAATCCCGTTTCCAACGAAGGCCTCAAAGAGGTCCAAATATCCACTTGCAGACTTTACAAATAGAGTGTTTCCAAACTGCTCTATGAAAAGAAAGGTTAAACTCTGTGAGTTGAAGGCACACATCACAAACTAGTTTCTACGAATGACTCTGTGTACTTTTAATATGAAGATATTTCCATGTCTAAGATTGGCGTCAAATCGCTTGAAATCTCCACTTGCAAATTCCACAAAAAGTGTTTTTCAAAACTGCTCTGAATAAAGGAAGGTTCCACTCTGTGAGTTGAATACACACAACACAAAGGATTTACTGAGAATTCTTCTGTCTAGCAGTAAATGAGAAATCCCGCTTCCAACGAAGGCCTCAAAGGGGTCTAACTAATCACTTGCAGACTTTACAGACAGAGTCTTTCCAAACTGCTCTATGAAGAGAAAGGTGAAACTCTGTGAACTGAACGCACAGATGACAAAGCAGTTTCTGAGAATGATTCTGTGTAGTTTTTACACGAAGATATTTCCATTTCAAAGATTAGCCTCAAATCGCTTGAAATCTCCACTTGCAAATTCCACAGAAAGAATTTTTCAAAACTGCTCTGTCTAAAGGAAGGTTTAACTCTGTGACTTGAATACACACAACACAAAGAAGTGACTGAGAATTCTTCTGTCTAGCATTATATGAAGAAATCCCGTTTCCAACGAAGGCCTCAATGAAGTCCAAAAAAGCACTTGCAGGCTTTACAAACAGAGTGTTTCCAAACTGCTCTATGAAAAGAAAGGCTAAACTCTGTGAGTTGAACGCACACATCACAAAGTAGTTGTTGAGAATGATTCTGTGTAGTTTTTATACGAAGATATTTCCTTTCCTGCCATAGGCCTAGAATCGCTTGAAATCTGCACTTGCAAATTCCAAAAACAGAGTGTTTCAACTCTGCTCTCTCTAAAGAAAGGTTCAACTCCTGTGAGTTGAATACACACAACACAAAGAAGTTACTGAGAATTCTTCTGTCTAGCGTTATATGAAGAAATCCCTTTTCCAACGAAGGCCTCAAAGAGGTCCAAATATCCACTTGCAGACTTTACAAATAGAATGTTTCCGAACTGCTCTATGAAAAGAAAGGTTAAACTCTGTGAGTTGAAGGCACACATCACAAACTAGTTTCTACGAATGATTCTGTGTACTTTTAATACGAAGATGTTTCCATGTCTAAGATTGGCGTGAATTCGCTTGAAATCTCCACTTGCAAATTCCACAAAAAGAGTGTTTCAAAAGTGCTCTGAATAAAGGAAGGTTCCACTCTGTGAGTTGAATACACACAACACAAAGGATTTACTGAGAATTCTTCTGTCTAGCAGTAAATGAGAAATCCCGCTTCCAACGAAGGCCTCAAAGGGGTCTAACTAATCACTTGCAGACTTTACAGACAGAGTCTTTCCAAACTGCTCTATGAAGAGAAAGGTGAAACTCTGTGAACTGAACGCACAGATGACAAAGCAGTTTCTGAGAATGATTCTGTGCAGTTTTTACACGAAGATATTTCCATTTCAAAGATTAGCCTAAAATCGCTTGAAATCTCCACTTGCAAATTCCACAAAAAGAGTGTTTCAAAACTGCTGTGAATAAAGGAAGGTTCAACTCTGTGAGTTGAATACACACAACAGAAAGGATTTAATGAGAATTCTTCTGTCTAGCATTATATGAAGAAATCCCGTTTCCAACGAAGGCCTCAATGAAGTCCAAAAAAGCACTTGCAGGCTTTACAAACAGAGTGTTTCCAAACTGCTCTATGAAAAGAAAGGTTAAACTCTGTGAGTTGAACGCACACATCACAAAGTAGTTGTTGAGAATGATTTTGTCTAGTTTTAATACGAAGATATATCCTTTTCTATCACTGTCTTCGAAGCGTTTGAAATCTGCACTAGCAAATTCCACAAACAGAGTGTTTCAACTCTGCTCTCTCTCAAGAAAGGTTCAACTCTGTGAGTGGAATACACACAACACAAAGAAGTTACTGAGAATTCTTCTGTCTAGCGTTATATGAAGAAATCCCGTTTCCAACGAAGGCCTCAAAGAGGTCCAAATATCCACTTGCAGACTTTACAAATAGAGTGTTTCCAAACTGCTCTATGAAAAGAAAGCTTAAACTCTGTGAGTTGAAGGCACACATCACAAACTAGTTTCTGCGAATGACTCTGTGTACTTTTAATATGAAGATATTTCCATGTCTAAGATTGGCGTCAAATCGCTTGAAATCTCCACTTGCAAATTCCACAAAAAGAGTGTTTCAAAACTGCTCTGAATAAAGGAAGGTTCCACTCTGTGAGTTGAATACACACAACACAAAGGATTTACTGAGAATTCTTCTGTCTAGCAGTAAATGAAAAAATCCCGCTTCCAACGAAGTCCTCAAAGGGGTCCAAGTAATCACTTGCAGACTTTACAGACAGAGTCTTTCCAAACTGCTCTATGAAAAGAAAGGTGGAACTCTGTGAGCTGAACGCACACATAACAAAGAAGTTTCTGAGAATGATTCTGTGTAGTTTTTACACGAAGATATTTCCATTTCAAAGATTAGCCTCAAATCGCTTGAAATCTCCACTTGCAAATTCCACAGAAAGAGTTTTTCAAAACTGCTCTGTGTAAAGGAAGGTTCAACTCTGTGACTTGAATACACACAACACAAAGAAGTGACTGAGAATTCTTCTGTCTAGCATTATATGAAGAAATCCCGTTTCCAACGAAGGCCTCAAAGAAGTCCAAATAAGCACCTGCAGACTTTACAAACAGAGTGTTTCCAAACTGCTCTATGAAAAGAAAGGTTAAACTCTGTGAGTTGAACGCACACATCACAAAGTAGTTGTTGAGAATGATTTTGTCTAGTTTTAATACGAAGATATATCCTTTTCTATCACTGTCTTCGAAGCGTTTGAAATCTGCACTAGCAAATTCCACAAAAAGAGTGTTTCAACTCTGCTCTCTCTCAAGAAAGGTTCAACTCTGTGAGTGGAATACACACAACACAAAGAAGTTACTGAGAATTCTTCTGTCTAGCGTTATATGAAGAAATCCCGTTTCCAACGAAGGCCTCAAAGAGGTCCAAATATCCACTTGCAGACTTACAAATAGAGTGTTTCCAAACTGCTCTATGAAAAGAAAGGTTAAACTCCGTGAGTTGAAGGCACACATCACAAACTAGTTTCTGCGAATGACTCTGTGTACTTTCAATACGAAGATGTTTCCATGTCTAAGATTGGCGTGAATTCGCTTGAAATCTCCACTTGCAAATTCCACAAAAAGAGTGTTTCAAAAGTGCTCTGAATAAAGGAAGGTTCCACTCTGTGAGTTGAATACACACAACACAAAGGATTTACTGAGAATTCTTCTGTCTAGCAGTAAATGAAAAAATCCCGCTTCCAACGAAGTCCTCAAAGGGGTCCAAGTAATCACTTGCAGACTTTACAGACAGAGTCTTTACAAACTGCTCTATGAAAAGAAAGGTGGAACTCTGTGAGCTGAACGCACACATAACAAAGCAGTTTCTGAGAATGATTCTGTGTAGTTTTTACACGAAGATATTTCCATTTCAAAGATTAGCCTCAAATCGCTTGAAATCTCCACTTGCAAACTCCACAGAAAGAATTTTTCAAAACTGCTCTGTCTAAAGGAAGGTTCAACTCTGTGACTTGAATACACACAACACAAAGAAGTGACTGAGAATTCTTCTGTCTAGCATTATATGAGGAAATCCCGTTTCCAACGAAGGGCTCATAGAGGGACAATTATCCAGCTGCAGACTTACAAAGAGTGTATTTCCAAACTGCTCGATTAAAGAAAGGTTAAACTCTGTGAGTTGAACACACACATCACAAAGTGTTTTCTGAGAATGATTCTGTGTAGTTTTTATACGAAGATATTTCCTTTTCTGCCATAGGCCTAGAAGCGCTTGAAATCTGCACTTGCAAATTCCAAAAACAGAGTGTTTCAAATCTGCTCTCTCTAAAGGAAGGTTCAAATCTGTGAGTTGAATACAAACAACACAAAGAAGTTACTGAGAATTCTTCTGTCTAGCGTTATATGAAGAAATCCCGTTTCCAACGAAGGCCTCAAAGTGGTCCAAATATCCACTTGCAGACTTTACAAATAGAGTGTTTCCAAACTGCTCTATGAAAAGAAAGGTTAAACTCCGTGAGTTGAAGGCACACATTACAAACTAGTTTCTGCGAATGACTCTGTGTACTTTTAATATGAAGATATTTCCATGTCTAAGATTGGCGTCAAATCGCTTGAAATCTCCACTTGCAAATTCCACAAAAAGTGTTTTTCAAAACTGCTCTGAATAAAGGAAGGTTCCACTCTGTGAGTTGAATACACACAACACAAAGGATTTACTGAGAATTCTTCTGTCTAGCAGTAAATGAAAAAATCCCGCTTCCAACGAAGTCCTCAAAGGGGTCCAAGTAATCACTTGCAGACTTTACAGACAGAGTCTTTCCAAACTGCTCTATGAAAAGAAAGGTGGAACTCTGTGAGCTGAACGCACACATAACAAAGCAGTTTCTGAGAATGATTCTGTGTAGTTTTTACACGAAGATATTTCCATTTCAAAGATTAGCCTCAAATCGCTTGAAATCTCCACTTGCAAATTCCACAGAAAGAGTTTTTCAAAACTGCTCTGTGTAAAGGAAGGTTCAACTCTGTGACTTGAATACACACAACACAAAGAAGTGACTGAGAATTCTTCTGTCTAGCATTATATGAAGAAATCCCGTTTCCAACGAAGGCCTCAATGAAGTCCAAAAAAGCACTTGCAGGCTTTACAAACAGAGTGTTTCCAAACTGCTCTATGAAAAGAAAGGTTAAACTCTGTGAGTTGAACGCACACATCACAAAGTAGTTGTTGAGAATGATTTTGTCTAGTTTTAATACGAAGATATATCCTTTTCTATCACTGTCTTCGAAGCGTTTGAAATCTGCACTAGCAAATTCCACAAACAGAGTGTTTCAACTCTGCTCTCTCTCAAGAAAGGTTCAACTCTGTGAGTTGAATACACACAACACAAAGAAGTTACTGAGAATTCTTCTGTCTAGCGTTATATGAAGAAATCCCGTTTCCAACGAAGGCCTCAAAGAGGTCCAAATATCCACTTGCAGACTTTACAAATAGAGTGTTTCCAAACTGCTCTATGAAAAGAAAGGTTAAACTCCGTGAGTTGAAGGCACACATCACAAACTAGTTTCTGCGAATGACTCTGTGTACTTTTAATATGAAGATATTTCCATGTCTAAGATTGGCGTCAAATCGCTTGAAATCTCCACTTGCAAATTCCACAAAAAGAGTGTTTCAAAACTGCTCTGAATAAAGGAAGGTTCCACTCTGTGAGTTGAATAAACACAACACAAAGGATTTACTGAGAATTCTTCTGTCTAGCAGTAAATGAGAAATCCCGCTTCCAACGAAGGCCTCAAAGGGGTCTAACTAATCACTTGCAGACTTTACAGACAGAGTCTTTCCAAACTGCTCTATGAAGAGAAAGGTGAAACTCTGTGAACTGAACGCACAGAGGACAAAGCAGTTTCTGAGAATGATTCTGTGTAGTTTTTACACGAAGATATTTCCATTTCAAAGATTAGCCTCAAATCGCTTGAAATCTCCACTTGCAAATTCCACAGAAAGAATTTTTCAAAACTGCTCTGTCTAAAGGAAGGTTCAACTCTGTGACTTGAATACACACAACACAAAGAAGTGACTGAGAATTCTTCTGTCTAGCATTATATGAAGAAATCCCGTTTCCAACGAAGGCCTCAAAGAAGTCCAAATAAGCACCTGCAGACTTTACAAACAGAGTGTTTCCAAACTGCTCTATGAAAAGAAAGGTTAAACTCTGTGAGTTGAACGCACACATCACAAAGTAGTTGTTGAGAATGATACTGTGTAGTTTTTATACGAAGATATTCCCTTTTCTGCCATAGGCCTAGAAGCGCTTGAAATCAGCACTTGCAAATTCCAAAAAAAGAGTGTTTGAAATCTGCTCTCTCTAATGGAAGTATCAAATCTGTGAGTTGAATACAAACAACACAAAGAAGTTATTGAGAATTCTTCTGTCTAGCACTATATGAGGAAATCCCGTTTCCAACGAAGGGCTCAAAGAGGGCCAATTATCCACTTGCAGACTTTACAAAGAGTGTATTTCCAAACTGCTCGATTAAAGAAAGGTTAAACTCTGTGAGTTGAACACACACATCACAAAGAGTTTTCTGAGAATGGTTCTGTGTACTTTTAATATGAAGATATTTCCATGTCTAAGATTGGCGTCAAATCGCTTGAAATCTCCACTTCCAAATTCCACAAAAAGTGTTTTTCAAAACTGCTCTGAATAAAGGAAGGTTCAACTCTGTGAGTTGAATACACACAACACAAAGGATTTACTGAGAATTCTTCTGTCTAGCAGTAAATGAGAAATCCCGCTTCCAACGAAGGCCTCAAAGGGGTCTAACTAATCACTTGCAGACTTTACAGACAGAATCTTTCCAAACTGCTCTATGAAGAGAAAGGTGAAACTCTGTGAACTGAACGCACAGATGACAAAGCAGTTTCTGAGAATGCTTCTGTGTAGTTTTTACACGAAGCTATTTCCATTTCAAAGTATTAGCCTCAAATCGCTTGAAATCTCCACTTGCAAATTCCACAGAAAGAGTTTTTCAAAACTGCTCTGTGTAAAGGAAAGTTCAACTCTGTGACTTGAATACACACAACACAAAGAAGTGACTGAGAATTCTTCTGTCTAGCATTATAAGAGGAAATCCCGTTTCCAACGAAGGGCTCATAGAGGGACAATTATCCAGCTGCAGACTTACAAAGAGTGTATTTCCAAACTGCTCGATTAAAGAAAGGTTAAACTCTGTGAGTTGAACACACACATCACAAAGTGTTTTCTGAGAATGATTCCTGTGTAGTTTTTATACGAAGATATTTCCTTTTCTGCCATAGGCCTAGAAGCGCTTGAAATCTGCACTTGCAAATTCCAAAAACAGAGTGTTTCAAATCTGCTCTCTCTAAAGGAAGGTTCAAATCTGTGTGTTGAATACAAACAACACAAAGAAGTTACTGAGAATTCTTCTGTCTAGCGTTATATGAAGAAATCCCGTTTCCAACGAAGGCCTCAGAGAGGTCCAAATATCCACTTGCAGACTTTACAAATAGAGTGTTTCCAAACTGCTCTATTAAAAGAAAGGTTAAACTCTGTGACTTGAAGGCACACATCAGAAACTAGTTTCTGCGAATGACTCTGTGTACTTTTAATACGAAGATGTTTCCATGTCTAAGATTGGCGTGAATTCGCTTGAAATCTCCACTTGCAAATTCCACAAAAAGAGTGTTTCAAAACTGCTCTGAATAAAGGAAGGTTCCACTCCTGTGAGTTGAATACACACAATACAAAGGATTTACTGAGAATTCTTCTGTCTAGCAGTAAATGAAAAAATCCCGCTTCCAACGAAGTCCTCAAAGGGGTCCAAGTAATCACTTGCAGACTTTACAGACAGAGTCTTTCCAAACTGCTCTATGAAAAGAAAGGTGGAACTCTGTGAGCTGAACGCACACATAACAAAGCAGTTTCTGACAATGATTCTGTGTAGTTTTTACACGAAGCTATTTCCATTTCAAAGATTAGCCTCAAATCGCTTGAAATCTCCACTTGCAAATTCCACAGAAAGAGTTTTTCAAAACTGCTCTGTGTAAAGGATGGTTCAACTCTGTGACTTGAATACACACAACACAAAGAAGTGACTGAGAATTCTTCTGTCTAGCATTATAAGAGGAAATCCCGTTTCCAACGAAGGGCTCATAGAGGGACAATTATCCAGCTGCAGACTTACAAAGAGTGTATTTCCAAACTGCTCGATTAAAGAAAGGTTAAACTCTGTGAGTTGAACACACACATCACAAAGTGTTTTCTGAGAATGATTCTGTGTAGTTTTTATACGAAGATATTTCCTTTTCTGCCATAGGCCTAGAAGCGCTTGCAATCTGCACTTGCAAATTCCAAAAACAGAGTGTTTCAAATCTGCTCTCTCCAAAGGAAGGTTCAAATCTGTGAGTTGAATACAAACAACACAAAGAAGTTACTGAGAATTCTTCTGTCTAGCGTTATATGAAGAAATCCCGTTTCCAACGAAGGCCTCAAAGAGGTCCAAATATCCACTTGCAGACTTTACAAATAGAGTGTTTCCAAACTGCTCTATGAAAAGAAAGGTTAAACTCCGTGAGTTGAAGGCACACATCACAAACTAGTTTCTGCGAATGACTCTGTGTACTTTTAATATGAAGATATTTCCATGTCTAAGATTGGCGTCAAATCGCTTGAAATCTCCACTTGCAAATTCCACAAAAAGAGTGTTTCAAAACTGCTCTGAATAAAGGAAGGTTCCACTCTGTGAGTTGAATACACACAACACAAAGGATTTACTGAGAATTCTTCTGTCTAGCAGTAAATGAAAAAATCCCGCTTCCAACGAAGTCCTCAAAGGGGTCCAAGTATTCACTTGCAGACTTTACAGACAGAGTCTTTCCAAACTGCTCTATGAAAAGAAAGGTGGAACTCTGTGAGCTGAACGCACACATAACAAAGCAGTTTCTGAGAATGATTTCTGTGTAGTTTTTACACGAAGAAATTTCCATTTCAAAGATTAGCCTCAAATCGCTTGAAATCTCCACTTGCAAATTCCACAGTAAGAATTTTTCATAACTGCTCTGTCTAAAGGAAGGTTCAACTCTGTGACTTGAATACACACAACACAAAGAAGTGACTGAGAATTCTTCTGTCTAGCATTATAAGAGGAAATCCTGTTTCCAACGAAGGGCTCATAGAGGGACAATTATCCAGCTGCAGACTTACAAAGAGTGTATTTCCAAACTGCTCGATTAAAGAAAGGTTAAACTCTGTGAGTTGAACACACACATCACAAAGTGTTTTCTGAGAATGATTTTGTCTAGTTTTAATACGAAGATATATCCTTTTCTATCACTGTCTTCGAAGCGTTTGAAATCTGCACTAGCAAATTCCACAAACAGAGTGTTTCAACTCTGCTCTCTCTCAAGGAAGCTTCAACTCTGTGAGTGGAATACACACAACACAAAGAAGTTACTGAGAATTCTTCTGTCTAGCGTTATATGAAGAAATCCCGTTTCCAACGAAGGCCTCAAAGAGGTCCAAATATCCACTTGCAGACTTTACAAATAGAGTGTTTCCAAACTGCTCTATGAAAAGAAAGGTTAAACTCCGTGAGTTGAAGGCACACATCACAAACTAGTTTCTGCGAATGACTCTGTGTACTTTTAATACGAAGATGTTTCCATGTCTAAGATTGGCGTGAATTCGCTTGAAATCTCCACTTGCAAATTCCACAAAAAGAGTGTTTCAAAACTGCTCTGAATAAAGGAAGGTTCCACTCTGTGAGTTGAATACACACAACACAAAGGATTTACTGAGAATCTTTCTGTCTAGCAGTAAATGAGAAATCCCGCTTCCAACGAAGGCCTCAAAGGGGTCTAACTAATCACTTGCAGACTTTACAGACAGAGTCTTTCCAAACTGCTCTATGAAGAGAAAGGTGAAACTCTGTGAACTGAACGCACAGATGACAAAGCAGTTTGCTGAGAATGATTTCTGTGTAGTTTTTACACGAAGCTATTTCCATTTCAAAGATTAGCCTCAAATCGCTTGAAATCTCCACTTGCAAATTCCACAGAAAGAGTTTTTCAAAACTGCTCTGTGTAAAGGATGGTTCAACTCTGTGACTTGAATACACACAACACAAAGAAGTGACTGAGAATTCTTCTGTCTAGCATTATATGAGGAAATCCCGTTTCCAACGAAGGGCTCATAGAGGGACAATTATCCAGCTGCAGACTTACAAAGAGTGTATTTCCAAACTGCTCGATTAAAGAAAGGTTAAACTCTGTGAGTTGAACACACACATCACAAAGTGTTTTCTGAGAATGATTCTGTGTAGTTTTTATACGAAGATATTTCCTTTTCTGCCATAGGCCTAGAAGCGCTTGAAATCTGCACTTGCAAATTCCAAAAACAGAGTGTTTCAAATCTGCTCTCTCTAAATGAAGGTTCAAATCTGTGAGTTGAATACAAACAACACAAAGAAGTTACTGAGAATTCTTCTGTCTAGCATTATATGAGGAAATCCCGTTTCCAACGAAGGGCTCAAAGAGGGCCAATTATCCACCTGCAGACTTAAAAAGAGTGTATTTCCAAACTGCTCAATTAAAGAAAGGTTAAACTCTGTGAGTTGAACACACACATCAGAAAGTGTTTTCTGAGAATGATTTTGTCTAGTTTTAATACGAAGATATATCCTTTGCTATCACTGTCTTCGAAGCGTTTGAAATCTGCACTAGCAAATTCCACAAAAAGAGTGTTTCAACTCTGCTCTCTCTAAAGAAAAGTTGAACTCTGTGAGTTGAATACACACAACACAAAGAAGTTACTGAAAATTCTTCTGTCTAGCGTTATATGAAGAAATCCCGTTTCCAACGAAGGCCTCAAAGAGGTCCAAATATCCACTTGCAGACTTTACAAATAGAGTGTTTCCCAACTGCTCTATGAAAAGAAAGGTTAAACTCTGTGAGTTGAAGGCACACATCACAAACTAGTTTCTACGAATGACTCTGTGTACTTTTAATACGAAGATGTTTCCATGTCTAAGATTGGCGTGAATTCGCTTGAAATCTCCACCTGCAAATTCCACAAAAAGAGTGTTTCAAAAGTGTTCTGAATAAAGGAAGGTTCCACTCTGTGAGTTGAATACACACAACACAAAGGATTTACTGAGAATTCTTCTGTCTAGCAGTAAATGAGAAATCCCGCTTCCAACGAAGGCCTCAAAGGGGTCTAACTAGTCACTTGCAGACTTTACAGACAGAGTCTTTCCAAACTGCTCTATGAAGAGAAAGGTGAAACTCTGTGAACTGAACGCACAGATGACAAAGCAGTTTCTGAGAATGATTCTGTGTAGTTTTTACACGAAGCTATTTCCATTTCAAAGATTAGCCTCAAATCGCTTGAAATCTCCACTTGCAAATTCCACAGAAAGAGTTTTTCAAAACTGCTCTGTGTAAAGGAAGGTTCAACTCTGTGACTTGAATACACACAACACAAAGAAGTGACTGAGAATTCTTCTGTCTAGCATTATATGAAGAAATCCCGTTTCCAACGAAGGCCTCAAAGAAGTCCAAATAAGCACCTGCAGACTTTACAAGCAGAGTGTTTCTAAACTGCTCTAAGAAAAGAAAGGTTAAACTCTGTGAGTTGAAGGCACACATCACAAAGTAGTTTCTGAGAATGATTCTGTGTAGTTTTTATACGAAGATATTTCCTTTTCTGCCATAGGCCTAGAAGCGCTTGAAATCTGCACTTGCAAATTCCAAAAACAGAGTGTTTCAACTCTGCTCTCTCTAAAGAAAGGTTCAACTCTGTGAGTTGAATACATACAACACAAAGAAGTTACTGAGAATTCTTCTGTCTAGCGTTATATGAAGAAATCCCGTTTCCAACGAAGGCCTCAAAGAGGTCCAAATATCCACTTGCAGACTTTACAAATAGAGTGTTTCCCAACTGCTCTATGAAAAGAAAGGTTAAACTCTGTGAGTTGAAGGCACACATCACAAACTAGTTTCTACGAATGACTCTGTGTACTTTTAATATGAAGATATTTCCATGTCTAAGATTGGCGTCAAATCGCTTGAAATCTCCACTTGCAAATTCCACAAAAAGAGTGTTTCAAAACTGCTCTGAATAAAGGAAGGTTCCACTCTGTGAGTTGAATACACACAACACAAAGGATTTACTGAGAATTCTTCTGTCTAGCAGTAAATGAAAAAATCCCGCTTCCAACGAAGTCCTCAAAGGGGTCCAAGTAATCACTTGCAGACTTTACAGACAGAGTCTTTCCAAACTGCTCTATGAAAAGAAAGGTGGAACTCTGTGAGCTGAACGCACACATAACAAAGCAGTTTCTGACAATGATTCTGTGTAGTTTTTACACGAAGATATTTCCATTTCAAAGATTAGCCTCAAATCGCTTGAAATCTCCACTTGCAAACTCCACAGAAAGAATTTTTCAAAACTGCTCTGTCTAAAGGAAGGTTCAACTCTGTGACTTGAATACACACAACACAAAGAAATGACTGAGAATTCTTCTGTCTAGCATTATATGAAGAAATCCCGTTTCCAACGAAGGCCTCAATGAAGTCCAAAAAAGCACTTGCAGGCTTTACAAACAGAGTGTTTCCAAACTGCTCTATGAAAAGAAAGGTTAAACTCTGTGAGTTGAACGCACACATCACAAAGTAGTTGTTGAGAATGATTTTGTCTAGTTTCAATACGAAGATATATCCTTTTCTATCACTGTCTTCGAAGCGTTTGAAATCTGCACTAGCAAATTCCACAGAAAGAGTGTTTCAACTCTGCTCTCTCTCAAGAAAGGTTCAACTCTGTGAGTTGAATACACACAACACAAAGAAGTTACTGAGAATTCTTCTGTCTAGCGTTGTATGAAGAAATCCCGTTTCCAACGAAGGCCTCAAAGAGGTCCAAATATCCACTTGCAGACTTTACAAATAGAGTGTTTCCAAACTGCTCTATGAAAAGAAAGGTTAAACTCTGTGAGTTGAAGGCACACATCACAAACTAGTTTCTACGAATGACTCTGTGTACTTTTAATATGAAGATATTTCCATGTCTAAGATTGGCGTCAAATCGCTTGAAATCTCCACTTGCAAATTCCACAAAAAGTGTTTTTCAAAACTGCTCTGAATAAAGGAAGGTTCAACTCTGTGAGTTGAATACACAGAACACAAAGGACTAACTGAGAATTCTTCTGTCTAGCAGTAGATGAGAAATCCCGCTTCCAACGAAGGCCTCAAAGGGGTCTAACTAATCACTTGCAGACTTTACAGACAGAGTCTTTCCAAACTGCTCTATGAAGAGAAAGGTGAAACTCTGAACTGAACGCACAGGTGACAAAGCAGTTTCTGCGAATGATTCTGTGTAGTTTTTACACGAAGATATTTCCATTTCAAAGATTAGCCTCAAATCGCTTGAAATCTCCACTTGCAAATTCCACAGAAAGAGTTTTTCAAAACTGCTCTGTGTAAAGGAAGGTTCAACTCTGTGACTTGAATACACACAACACAAAGAAGTGACTGAGAATTCTTCTGTCTAGCGTTGTATGAAGAAATCCCGTTTCCAACGAAGGCCTCAATGAAGTCCAAAAAAGCACTTGCAGGCTTTACAAACAGAGTGTTTCCAAACTGCTCTATGAAAAGAAAGGTTAAACTCTGTGAGTTGAACACACACATCACAAAGAGTTTTCTGAGAATGATTCTGTGTAGTTTTTATACGAAGATATTTCCTTTTCTGCCATAGGCCTAGAAGCGCTTGTAATCTGCACTTGCAAATTCCAAAAACAGAGTGTTTCAAATCTGCTCTCTCTAAAGGAAGGTTCAAATCTGTGAGTTGAATACAAACAACACAAAGAAGTTACTGAGAATTCTTCTGTCTAGCGTTATATGAAGAAATCCCGTTTCCAACGAAGGCCGCAAAGACGTCCAAATATCCACTTGCAGACTTTACAAATAGAGTGTTTCCAAACTGCTCTATGAAAAGAAAGGTTAAACTCTGTGAGTTGAAGGCACACATCACAAACTAGTTTCTGCGAATGACTCTGTGTACTTTTAATATGAAGATATTTCCACGTCTAAGATTGGCGTCAAATCGCTTGAAATCTCCACTTGCAAATTCCACAAAAAGTGTTTTTCAAAACTTCTCTGAATAAAGGAAGGTTCAACTCTGTGAGTTGAATACACACAACACCAAGGATTTACTGAGAATTCTTCTGTCTAGCAGTAAATGAGAAATCCCGCTTCCAACGAAGGCCTCAAAGGGGTCTAAGTAATCACTTGCAGACTTTACAGACAGAGTCTTTCCAAACTGCTCTATGAAGAGAAAAGTGAAACTCTGTGAACTGAACGCACAGATAACAAAGCAGTTTCTGAGAATGATTCTGTGTAGTTTTTACACGAAGATATTTCCATTTCAAAGATTAGCCTCAAATCGCTTGAAATCTCCACTTGCAAATTCCACAGAAAGAGTTTTTCAAAACTGCTCTGTGTAAAGGAAGGTTCAACTCTGTGACTTGAATACACACAACACAAAGAAGTGACTGAGAATTCTTCTGTCTAGCATTATATGAAGAAATCCCGTTTCCAACGAAGGCCTCAAAGAAGTCCAAATAAGCACCTGCAGACTTTACAAACAGAGTGTTTCCAAACTGCTCTATGAAAAGAAAGGTTAAACTCTGTGAGTTGAACGCACACATCACAAAGTAGTTGTTGAGAATGATTTTGTCTAGTTTTAATACGAAGATATATCCTTTTCTATCACTGTCTTCGAAGCGTTTGAAATCTGCACTAGCAAATTCCACAAACAGAGTGTTTCAACTCTGCTCTCTCTCAAGAAAGGTTCAACTCTGTGAGTGGAATACACACAACACAAAGAAGTTACTGAGAATTCTTCTGTCTAGCGTTATATGAAGAAATCCCGTTTCCAACGAAGGCCTCAAAGAGGTCCAAATATCCACTTGCAGACTTTACAAATAGAGTGTTTCCAAACTGCTCTATGAAAAGAAAGCTTAAACTCTGTGAGTTGAAGGCACACATCACAAACTAGTTTCTGCGAACGACTCTGTGTACTTTTAATACGAAGATGTTTCCATGTCTAAGATTGGCGTGAATTCGCTTGAAATCTCCACTTGCAAATTCCACAAAAAGAGTGTTTCAAAACTGCTCTGAATAAAGGAAGGTTCCACTCTGTGAGTTGAATACACACAACACAAAGGATTTACTGAGAATTCTTCTGTCTGGCAGTAAATGAAAAAATCCCGCTTCCAACGAAGTCCTCAAAGGGGTCCAAGTAATCACTTGCAGACTTTACAGACAGAGTCTTTCCAAACTGCTCTATGAAAAGAAAGGTGGAACTCTGTGAGCTGAACGCACACATAACAAAGCAGTTTCTGAGAATGATTCTGTGTAGTTTGTACACGAAGATATTTCCATTTCAAAGATTAGCCTCAAATCGCTTGAAATCTCCACTTGCAAATTCCACAGAAAGAGTTTTTCAAAACTGCTCTGTGTAAAGGAAGGTTCAACTCTGTGACTTGAATACACACAACACAAAGAAGTGACTGAGAATTCTTCTGTCTAGCATTATATGAGGAAATCCCGTTTCCAACGAAGGGCTCATAGAGGGACAATTATCCAGCTGCAGACTTACAAAGAGTGTATTTCCAAACTGCTCGATTAAAGAAAGGTTAAACTCTGTGAGTTGAACACACACATCACAAAGTGTTTTCTGAGAATGATTCTGTGTAGTTTTTATACGAAGATATTTCCTTTTCTGCCATAGGCCTAGAAGCGCTTGAAATCTGCACTTGCAAATTCCAAAAACAGAGTGTTTCAACTCTGCTCTCTCTAAAGGAAGATTCAACTCTGTGAGTTGAATACACACAACACAAAGAAGTTACTGAGAATTCTTCTGTCTAGCGTTATATGAAGAAATCCCGTTTCCAACGAAGGCCTCAAAGAGGTCCAAATATCCACTTGCAGACTTTACAAATAGAGTGTTTCCAAACTGCTCTATGAAAAGAAAGGTTAAACTCCGTGAGTTGAAGGCACACATCACAAACTAGTTTCTGCGAATGACTCTGTGTACTTTTAATATGAAGATATTTCCATGTCTAAGATTGGCGTCAAATCGCTTGAAATCTCCACTTGCAAATTCCACAAAAAGTGTTTTTCAAAACTGCTCTGAATAAAGGAAGGTTCCACTCTGTGAGTTGAATACACACAACACAAAGGATTTACTGAGAATTCTTATGTCTAGCAGTAAATGAAAAAATCCCGCTTCCAACGAAGTCCTCAAAGGGGTCCAAGTAATCACTTGCAGACTTTACAGACAGAGTCTTTCCAAACTGCTCTATGAAAAGAAAGGTGGAACTCTGTGAGCTGAACGCACACATAACAAAGCAGTTTCTGAGAATGATTCTGTGTAGTTTTTACACGAAGATATTTCCATTTCAAAGATTAGCCTCAAATCGCTTGAAATCTCCACTTGCAAATTCCACAGAAAGAGTTTTTCAAAACTGCTCTGTGTAAAGGAAGGTTCAACTCTGTGACTTGAATACACACAACACAAAGAAGTGACTGAGAATTCTTCTGTCTAGCATTATAAGAGGAAATCCTGTTTCCAACGAAGGGCTCATAGAGGGACAATTATCCAGCTGCAGACTTACAAAGAGTGTATTTCCAAACTGCTCGATTAAAGAAAGGTTAAACTCTGTGAGTTGAACACACACATCACAAAGTGTTTTCTGAGAATGATTCTGTGTAGTTTTTATACGAAGATATTTCCTTTTCTGCCATAGGCCTAGAATCGCTTGAAATCTGCAGTTGCAAATTCCAAAAACAGAGTGTTTCAACTCTGCTCTCTCTAAAGAAAGGTTCAACTCTGTGAGTTGAATACACACAACACAAAGAAGTTACTGAGAATTCTTCTGTCTAGCGTTATATGAAGAAATCCCGTTTCCAACGAAGGCCTCAAAGAGGTCCAAATATCCACTTGCAGACTTTACAAATAGAGTGTTTCCCAACTGCTCTATGAAAAGAAAGGTTAAACTCTGTGAGTTGAAGGCACACATCACAAACTAGTTTCTACGAATGACTCTGTGTACTTTTAATATGAAGATATTTCCATGTCTAAGATTGACGTCAAATCGCTTGAAATCTCCACTTGCAAATTCCACAAAAAGTGTTTTTCAAAACTGCTCTGAATAAAGGAAGGTTCCACTTCTGTGAGTTGAATACACACAACACAAAGGATTTACTGAGAATTCTTCTGTCTAGCAGTAAATGAGAACTCCCGCTTCCAACGATGGCCTCAATGGGGTCTAACTAATCACTTGCAGACTTTACAGACAGAGTCTTTCCAAACTGCTCTATGAAGAGAAAGGTGAAACTCTGTGAACTGAACGCACAGATGACAAAGCAGTTTCTGAGAATGATTCTGTGTAGTTTTTACACGAAGATATTTCCATTTCAAAGATTAGCCTCAAATCGCTTGAAATCTCCACTTGCAAATTCCACAGAAAGAGTTTTTCAAAACTGCTCTGTGTAAAGGAAGGTTCAACTCTGTCACTTGAATACACACAACACAAAGAAGTGACTGAGAATTCTTCTGTCTAGCATTATATGAAGAAATCCCGTTTCCAACGAAGGCCTCAAAGAAGTCCAAATAAGCACCTGCAGACTTTACAAACAGAGTGTTTCCAAACTGCTCTATGAAAAGAAAGGTTAAACTCTGTGAGTTGAACGCACACATCACAAAGTAGTTGTTGAGAATGATTCTGTGTAGTTTTTATACGAAGATATTTCCTTTTCTGCCATAGGCCTAGAAGCGCTTGTAATCTGCACTTGCAAATTCCAAAAACAGAGTGTTTCAAATCTGCTCTCTCTAAAGGAAGGTTCAAATCTGTGAGTTGAATACAAACAACACAAAGAAGTTACTGAGAATTCTTTCTGTCTAGCGTTGTATGAAGAAATCCCGTTTCCAACGAAGGCCTCAAAGAGGTCCAAATATCCACTTGCAGACTTTACAAATAGAGTGTTTCCAAACTGCTCTATGAAAAGAAAGGTTAAACTCTGTGAGTTGAAGGCACACATCACAAACTAGTTTCTACGAATGACTCTGTGTACTTTTAATATGAAGATATTTCCATGTCTAAGATTGGCGTCAAATCGCTTGAAATCTCCACTTGCAAATTCCACGAAAAGTGTTTTTCAAAACTGCTCTGAATAAAGGAAGGTTCCACTCTGTGAGTTGAATACACACAACACAAAGGATTTACTGAGAATTCTTCTGTCTAGCAGTAAATGAAAAAATCCCGCTTCCAACGAAGTCCTCAAAGGGGTCCAAGTAATCACTTGCAGACTTTACAGACAGAGTCTTTCCAAACTGCTCTATGAAAAGAAAGGTGGAACTCTGTGAGCTGAACGCACACATAACAAAGCAGTTTCTGACAATGATTCTGTGTAGTTTTTACACGAAGCTATTTCCATTTCAAAGATTAGCCTCAAATCGCTTGAAATCTCCACTTGCAAATTCCACAGAAAGAGTTTTTCAAAACTGCTCTGTGTAAAGGAAGGTTCAACTCTGTGACTTGAATACACACAACACAAAGAAGTGACTGAGAATTCTTCTGTCTAGCATTATATGAAGAAATCCCGTTTCCAACGAAGGCCTCAATGAAGTCCAAAAAAGCACTTGCAGGCTTTACAAACAGAGTGTTTCCAAACTGCTCTATGAAAAGAAAGGTTAAACTCTGGGAGTTGAACGCACACATCACAAAGTAGTTGTTGAGAATGATGCTGTGTAGTTTTCATACGAAGATATTTCCTTTTCTGCCATAGGCCTAGAAGCGCTTGAAATCTGCACTTGCAAATTCCAAAAACAGAGTGTTTCAAATCTGCTCTCTCTAAAGGAAGGTTCAAATCTGTGAGTTGAATACAAACAACACAAAGAAGTTACTGAGAATTCTTCTGTCTAGCATTATATGAGGAAATCCCGTTTCCAATGAAGGGTTCAAAGAGGGCCAATTATCCACCTGCAGACTTACAAAGAGTGTATTTCCAAACTGCTCGATTAAAGAAACGTTAAACTCTGTGAGTTGAACACACACATCACAGAGTGTTTTCTGAGAATGATTCTGTGTAGTTTTAATATGAAGATATTTCCATGTCTAAGATTGGCGTCAAATCGCTTGAAATCTCCACTTCCAAATTCCACAAAAAGTGTTTTTCAAAACTGCTCTGAATAAAGGAAGGTTCAACTCTGTGAGTTGAATACACACAACACAAAGGATTTACTGAGAATTCTTCTGTCTAGCAGTAAATGAGAAATCCCGCTTCCAACGAAGGCCTCAATGGGGTCTAACTAATCACTTGCAGACATTACAGACAGAGTCTTTCCAAACTGCTCTATGAAGAGAAAGGTGAAACTCTGTGAACTGAACGCACAGATGACAAAGCAGTTTCTGAGAATGATTCCGTGTAGTTTTTACACGAAGATATTTCCATTTCAAAGATTAGCCTCAAATCGCTTGAAATCTCCACTTGCAAATTCCACAGAAAGAATTTTTCAAAACTGCTCTGTCTAAAGGAAGGTTCAACTCTGTGACTTGAATACACACAACACAAAGAAGTGACTGAGAATTCTTCTGTCTAGCATTACATGAAGAAATCCCGTTTCCAATGAAGGCCTCAATGAAGTCCAAAGAAGCACTTGCAGGATTTACAAACAGAGTGTTTCCAAACTGCTCTATGAAAAGAAAGGTTAAACTCTGTGAGTTGAACGCACACATCACAAAGCAGTTGTTGAGAATGATTCTGTGTAGTTTTTATACGAAGATATTTCCTTTTCTGCCATAGGCCTAGAAGCGCTTGCAATCTGCACTTGCAAATTCCAAAAACAGAGTGTTTCAAATCTGCTCTCTCCAAAGGAAGGTTCAAATCTGTGAGTTGAATACAAACAACACAAAGAAGTTACTGAGAATTCTTCTGTCTAGCGTTATATGAAGAAATCCCGTTTCCAACGAAGGCCTCAAAGAGGTCCAAATATCCACTTGCAGACTTTACAAATAGAGTGTTTCCCAACTGCTCTATGAAAAGAAAGGTTAAACTCTGTGAGTTGAAGGCACACATCACAAACTAGTTTCTACGAATGACTCTGTGTACTTTTAATATGAAGATATTTCCATGTCTAAGATTGGCGTCAAATCGCTTGAAATCTCCACTTGCAAATTCCACAAACAGTGTTTTTCAAAACTGCTCTGAATAAAGGAAGGTTCCACTCTGTGAGTTGAATACACGCAACAGAAAGGATTTACTGAGAATTCTTCTGTCTAGCAGTAAATGAGAAATCCCGCTTCCAACGAAGGCCTCAAAGGGGTCTAACTAATCACTTGCGGACTTTACAGACAGAGACTTTCCAAACTGCTCTATGAAGAGAAAGGTGAAACTCTGTGAACTGAACGCACAGATAACAAAGCAGTTTCTGAGAATGATTCTGTGTAGTTTTTACACGAAGATATTTCCATTTCAAAGATTAGCCTCAAATCGCTTGAAATCTCCACTTGCAAACTCCACAGAAACAATTTTTCAAAACTGCTCTGTCTAAAGGAAGGTTCAACTCTGTGACTTGAATACACACAACACAAAGAAGTGACTGAGAATTCTTCTGTCTAGCATTACATGAAGAAATCCCGTTTCCAACGAAGGCCTCAATGAAGTCCAAAAAAGCACTTGCAGGCTTTACAAACAGAGTGTTTCCAAACTGCTCTATGAAAAGAAAGTTTAAACTCTGTGAGTTGAACGCACACATCACAAAGTAGTTGTTGAGCAATGATCTGTGTAGTTTTTATACGAAGATATTTCCTTTTCTGCCATAGGCCTAGAAGCGCTTGCAATCTGCACTTGCAAATTCCAAAAACAGAGTGTTTCAAATCTGCTCTCTCTAAAGGAAGTTTCAAATCTGTGAGTTGAATACAAACAACACAAAGAAGTTACTGAGAATACTTCTGTCTGCCGTTGTATGAAGAAATCCCGTCTCCAACGAAGGCCTCAAAGAGGTCCAAATATCCACTTGCAGACTTTGCAAATAGAGTGTTTCCAAACTGCTCTATGAAAAGAAAGGTTAAACTCTGTGAGTTGAAGGCACACATCACAAACTAGTTTCTACGAATGACTCTGTGTACTTTTAATATGAAGATATTTCCATGTCTAAGATTGGCGTCAAATCGCTTGAAATCTCCACTTGCAAATTCCACAAAAAGTGTTTTTCAAAACTGCTCTGAATAAAGGAAGGTTCCACTCTGTGAGTTGAATACACGCAACACAAAGGATTTACTGAGAATTCTTCTGTCTAGCAATAAATGAGAAATCCCGCTTCCAACGAAGGCCTCAAAGGGGTCTAACTAATCACTTGCAGACTTTACAGACAGAGTCTTTCCAAACTGCTCTATGAAGAGAAAGGTGAAACTCTGTGAACTGAACGCACAGATAACAAAGCAGTTTCTGAGAATGCTTCTGTGCAGTTTTTACACGAAGATATTTCCATTTCAAAGATTAGCCTCAAATCGCTTGAAATCTCCACTTGCAAATTCCACAGAAAAAATTTTTCAAGACTGCTCTGTCTAAAAGAAGGTTCAACTCTGTGACTTGAATACACACAACACAAAGAAGTGACTGAGAATTCTTCTGTCCAGCATTATATGAAGAAATCCCGTTTCCAACGAAGGCCTCAATGAAGTCCAAAAAAGCACTTGCAGGCTTTACAAACAGAGTGTTTCCAAACTGCTCTATGAAAAGAAAGTTTAAACTCTGTGAGTTGAACGCACACATCACAAAGTAGTTGTTGAGAATGATTCTGTGTAGTTTTTATACGAAGATATTTCCTTTTCTGCCATAGGCCTAGAAGCGCTTGAAATCTGCACTTGCAAATTCCAAAAACAGAGTGTTTCAAATCTGCTCTCTCTAAAGGAAGGTTCAAATCTGTGTGTTGAATACAAACAACACAAAGAAGTTACTGAGAATTCTTCTGTCTAGCGTTGTATGAAGAAATCCCGTTTCCAACGAAGGCCTCAAAGAGGTCCAAATATCCACTTGCAGACTTTACAAATAGAGTGTTTCCAAACTGCTCTATGAAAAGAAAGGTTAAACTCTGTGAGTTGAAGGCACACATCACAAACTAGTTTCTACGAATGACTCTCTGTACTTTTAATATGAAGATATTTCCATGTCTAAGATTGGCGTCAAATCGCTTGAAATCTCCACTTGCAAATTCCACAAAAATTGTTTTTCAAAACTTCTCTGAATAAAGGAAGGTTCCACTCTGTGAGTTGAATACACACAACACAAAGGATTTACTGAGAATTCTTCTGTCTAGCAGTAAATGAAAAAATCCCGCTTCCAACGAAGTCCTCAAAGGGGTCCAAGTAATCACTTGCAGACTTTACAGACAGAGTCTTTCCAAACTGCTCTATGAAAAGAAAGGTGGAACTCTGTGAGCTGAACGCACACATAACAAAGCAGTTTCTGAGAATGATTCTGTGTAGTTTTTACACGAAGATATTTCCATTTCAAAGATTAGCCTCAAATCGCTTGAAATCTCCACTTGCAAATTCCACAGAAAGAGTTTTTCAAAACTGCTCTGTGTAAAGGAAGGTTCAACTCTGTGACTTGAATACACACAACACAAAGAAGTGACTGAGAATTCTTCTGTCTAGCATTACATGAAGAAATCCCGTTTCCAACGAAGGCCTCAAAGAAGTCCAAATAAGCACCTGCAGACTTTACAAACAGAGTGTTTCCAAACTGCTCTATGAAAAGAAAGGTTAAACTCTGTGAGTTGAACGCACACATCACAAAGTAGTTGTTGAGAATGATTCTGTGTAGTTTTTATACGAAGATATTTCCTTTTCTGCCATAGGCCTAGAAGCGCTTGAAATCTGCACTTGCAAATTCCAAAAACAGAGTGTTTCAAATCTGCTCTCTCTAAAGGAAGGTTCAAATCTGTGTGTTGAATACAAACAACACAAAGAAGTTACTGAGAATTCTTCTGTCTAGCGTTATATGAAGAAATCCCGTTTCCAACGAAGGCCTCAAAGAGGTCCAAATATCCACTTGCAGACTTTACAAATAGAGTGTTTCCAAACTGCTCTATGAAAAGAAAGGTTAAACTCCGTGAGTTGAAGGCACACATCACAAACTAGTTTCTGCGAATGACTCTGTGTACTTTTAATACGAAGATGTTTCCATGTCTAAGATTGGCGTGAATTCGCTTGAAATCTCCACTTGCAAATTCCACAAAAAGAGTGTTTCAAAACTGCTCTGAATAAAGGAAGGTTCCACTCTGTGAGTTGAATACACACAACACAAAGGATTTACTGAGAATTCTTCTGTCTAGCAGTAAATGAGAAATCCCGCTTCCAACGAAGGCCTCAAAGGGGTCTAACTAATCACTTGCAGACTTTACAGACAGAGTCTTTCCAAACTGCTCTATGAAGAGAAAGGTGAAACTCTGTGAACTGAACGCACAGATGACAAAGCAGTTTCTGAGAATGATTCTGTGTAGTTTTTACACGAAGATATTTCCATTTCAAAGATTAGCCTCAAATCGCTTGAAATCTCCACTTGCAAATTCCACAGAAAGAGTTTTTCAAAACTGCTCTGTGTAAAGGAAGGTTCAACTCTGTGACTTGAATACACACAACACAAAGAAGTGACTGAGAATTCTTCTGTCTAGCATTATATGAAGAAATCCCGTTTCCAACGAAGGCCTCAATGAAGTCCAAAAAAGCACTTGCAGGCTTTACAAACAGAGTGTTTCCAAACTGCTCTATGAAAAGAAAGGTTAAACTCTGTGAGTTGAACGCACACATCACAAAGTAGTTGTTGAGAATGATTCTGTGTAGTTTTTATACGAAGATATTTCCTTTTCTGCCATAGGCCTAGAAGCGCTTGAAATCTGCACTTGCAAATTCCAAAAACAGAGTGTTTCAAATCTGCTCTCTCTAAAGGAAGGTTCAAATCTGTGAGTTGAATACAAACAACACAAAGAAGTTACTGAGAATTCTTCTGTCTAGCGTTATATGAAGAAATCCCGTTTCCAACGAAGGCCTCAAAGAGGTCCAAATATCCACTTGCAGACTTTACAAATAGAGTGTTTCCAAACTGCTCTATGAAAAGAAAGGTTAAACTCCGTGAGTTGAAGGCACACATCACAAACTAGTTTCTGCGAATGACTCTGTGTACTTTTAATACGAAGATGTTTCCATGTCTAAGATTGGCGTGAATTCGCTTGAAATCTCCACTTGCAAATTCCACAAAAAGAGTGTTTCAAAACTGCTCTGAATAAAGGAAGGTTCCACTCTGTGAGTTGAATACACACAACACAAAGGATTTACTGAGAATTCTTCTGTCTAGCAGTAAATGAAAAAATCCCGCTTCCAACGAAGTCCTCAAAGGGGTCCAAGTAATCACTTGCAGACTTTACAGACAGAGTCTTTCCAAACTGCTCTATGAAAAGAAAGGTGGAACTCTGTGAGCTGAACGCACACATAACAAAGCAGTTTCTGAGAATGATTCTGTGAAGTTTTTACACGAAGCTATTTCCATTTCAAAGATTAGCCTCAAATCGCTTGAAATCTCCACTTGCAAATTCCACAGAAAGAGTTTTTCAAAACTGCTCTGTGTAAAGGAAGGTTCAACTCTGTGACTTGAATACACACAACACAAAGAAGTGACTGAGAATTCTTCTGTCTAGGATTATATGAAGAATTCCCGTTTCCAACGAAGGCCTCAAAGAAGTCCAAATAAGCACCTGCAGACTTTACAAACAGAGTGTTTCCAAACTGCTCTATGAAAAGAAAGGTTAAACTGTGTGAGTTGAACGCACACATCACAAAGTAGTTGTTGAGAATGATTCTGTGTAGTTTTCATACGAAGATATTTCCTTTTCTGCCATAGGCCTAGAAGTACTTGAAATCTGCACTTGCAAATTCCAAAAACAGAGTGTTTCAAAACTGCTCTATCTAAAGGAAGGTTCAAATCTGTGAGTTGCATACAAACAACACAAAGAAGTTACTGAGAATTCTTCTGTCTAGCGTTATATGAAGAAATCCCGTTTCCAACGAAGGCCTCAAAGAGGTCCAAATATCCACTTGCAGACTTTACAAATAGAGTGTTTCCCAACTGCTCTATGAAAAGAAAGGTTAAACTCTGTGAGTTGAAGGCACACATCACAAACTAGTTTCTACGAATGACTCTGTGTACTTTTAATACGAAGATGTTTCCATGTCTAAGATTGGCGTGAATTCGCTTGAAATCTCCACTTGCAAATTCCACAAAAAGAGTGTTTCAAAACTGCTCTGAATAAAGGAAGGTTCCACTCTGTGAGTTGAATACACACAACACAAAGGATTTACTGAGAATTCTTCTGTCTGGCAGTAAATGAAAAAATCCCGCTTCCAACGAAGTCCTCAAAGGGGTCCAAGTAATCACTTGCAGACTTTACAGACAGAGTCTTTCCAAACTGCTCTATGAAAACAAAGGTGGAACTCTGTGAGCTGAACGCACACATAACAAAGCAGTTTCTGACAATGATTCTGTGTAGTTTTTACACGAAGCTATTTCCATTTCAAAGATTAGCCTCAAATCGCTTGAAATCTCCACTTGCAAATTCCACAGAAAGAGTTTTTCAAAACTGCTCTGTGTAAAGGAAGGTTCAACTCTGTGACTTGAATACACACAACACAAAGAAGTGACTGAGAATTCTTCTGTCTAGCATTACATGAAGAAATCCCGTTTCCAACGAAGGCCTCAAAGAAGTCCAAATAAGCACCTGCAGACTTTACAAACAGAGTGTTTCCAAACTGCTCTATGAAAAGAAAGGTTAAACTCTGTGAGTTGAACGCACACATCACAAAGTAGTTGTTGAGAATGATTCTGTGTAGTTTTCATACGAAGATATTTCCTTTCCTGCCATAGGCCTAGAATCGCTTGAAATCTGCACTTGCAAATTCCAAAAACAGAGTGTTTCAACTCTGCTCTCTCTAAAGAAAGGTTCAACTCTGTGAGTTGAATACACACAACACAAAGAAGTTACTGAGAATTCTTCTGTCTAGCGTTATATGAAGAAATCCCGTTTCCAACGAAGGCCTCAAAGAGGTCCAAATATCCACTTGCAGACTTTACAAATAGAGTGTTTCCAAACTGCTCTATGAAAAGAAAGGTTAAACTCCGTGAGTTGAAGGCACACATCACAAACTAGTTTCTGCGAATGACTCTGTGTACTTTTAATATGAAGATATTTCCATGTCTAAGATTGGCGTCAAATCGCTTGAAATCTCCACTTGCAAATTCCACAAAAAGAGTGTTTCAAAACTGCTCTGAATAAAGGAAGGTTCCACTCTGTGAGTTGAATACACACAACACAAAGGATTTACTGAGAATTCTTCTGTCTAGCAGTAAATGAAAAAATCCCGCTTCCAACGAAGTCCTCAAAGGGGTCCAAGTAATCACTTGCAGACTTTACAGACAGAGTCTTTCCAAACTGCTCTATGAAAAGAAAGGTGGAACTCTGTGAGCTGAACGCACACATAACAAAGCAGTTTCTGAGAATGATTCTGTGTAGTTTTTACACGAAGATATTTCCATTTCAAAGATTAGCCTCAAATCGCTTGAAATCTCCACTTGCAAATTACACAGAAAGAATTTTTCAAAACTGCTCTGTCTAAAGGAAGGTTCAACTCTGTGACTTGAATACACACAACACAAAGAAGTGACTGAGAATTCTTCCGTCTAGCATTATATGAAGAAATCCCGTTTCCAACGAAGGCCTCAATGAAGTCCAAAAAAGCACTTGCACGCGTTACAAACAGAGTGTTTCCAAACTGCTCTATGAAAAGAAAGGTTAAACTCTGTGAGTTGAACGCACACATCACAAAGTAGTTGTTGAGAATGATTTCTGTGTAGTTTTTATACGAAGATATTTCCTTTTCTGCCATAGGCCTAGAAGCGCTTGCAATCTGCACTTGCAAATTCCAAAAACAGAGTGTTTCAAATCTGCTCTCTCCAAAGGAAGGTTCAAATCTGTGAGTTGAATACAAACAACACAAAGAAGTTACTGAGAATTCTTCTGTCTAGCGTTGTATGAAGAAATCCCGTTTCCAACGAAGGCCTCAAAGAGGTCCAAATATCCACTTGCAGACTTTACAAATAGAGTGTTTCCAAACTGCTCTATGAAAAGAAAGGTTAAACTACTGTGAGTTGAAGGCACACATCACAAACTAGTTTCTGCGAATGACTTCTGTGTACTTTTAATACGAAGATGTTTCCATGTCTAAGATTGGCGTGAATTCGCTTGAAATCTCCACTTGCAAATTCCACAAAAAGAGTGTTTCAAAACTGCTCTGAATAAAGGAAGGTTCCACTCTGTGAGTTGAATACACACAACACAAAGGATTTACTGAGAATTCTTCTGTCTAGCAGTAAATGAAAAAATCCCGCTTCCAACGAAGTCCTCAAAGGGGTCCAAGTAATCACTTGCAGACTTTACAGACAGAGTCTTTCCAAACTGCTCTATGAAAAGAAAGGTGGAACTCTGTGAGCTGAACGCACACATAACAAAGCAGTTTCTGAGAATGATTCTGTGTAGTTTTTACACGAAGATATTTCCATTTCAAAGATTAGCCTCAAATCGCTTGAAATCTCCACTTGCAAATTACACAGAAAGAATTTTTCAAAACTGCTCTGTCTAAAGGAAGGTTCAACTCTGTGACTTGAATACACACAACACAAAGAAGTTACTGAGAATTCTTCTGTCTAGCATTATATGAAGAAATCCCGTTTCCAACGAAGGCCTCAAAGAAGTCCAAATAAGCACCTGCAGACTTTACAAACAGAGTGTTTCCAAACTGCTCTATGAAAAGAAAGGTTAAACTCTGTGAGTTGAACGCACACATCACAAAGTAGTTGTTGAGAATGATTTTGTCTAGTTTTAATGCGAAGATATATCCTTTTCTATCACTGTCTTCGAAGCTTTTGAAATCTGCACTAGCAAATTCCACAAAAAGAGTGTTTCACCTCTGCTCTCTCTCAAGAAAGGTTCAACTCTGTGAGTTGAATACACATAACACAAAGAAGTTACTGAGAATTCTTCTGTCTAGCGTTATATGAAGAAATCCCGTTACCAACGAAGGCCTCAAAGAGGTCCAAATATCCACTTGCAGATTTTACAAATAGAGTGTTTCCAAACTGCTTTATGAAAAGAAAGGTTAAACTCTGTGAGCTGAAGGCACACTTCACAAACTAGTTTCTACGAATGACTCTGTGTACTTTTAATATGAAGATATTTCCATGTCTAAGATTGGCGTCAAATCGCTTGAAATCTCCACTTGCAAATTCCACAAAAAGAGTGTTTCAAAACTGCTCTGAATAAAGGAAGTTTCCACTCTGTGAGTTGAATACACACAACACAAAGGATTTACTGAGAATTCTTCTGTCTAGCAGTAAATGAGAAATCCCGCTTCCAACGAAGACCTCAAAGGGGTCTAACTAATCACTTGCAGACTTTACAGACAGAGTCTTTCCAAACTGCTCTATGAACAGAAAGGTGAAACTCTGTGAACTGAACGCACAGATAACAAAGCAGTGTCTGAGAATGATTCTGTGTAGTTTTTACACGAAGCTATTTCCATTTCAAAGATTAGCCTCAAATCGCTTGAAATCTCCACTTGCAAATTCCACAGAAAGAGTTTTTCAAAACTGCTCTGTGTAAAGGAAGGTTCAACTCTGTGACTTGAATACACAAAACACAAAGAAGTGACTGAGAATTCTTCTGTCTAGCATTATATGAAGAAATCCCGTATCCAACGAAGGCCTCATAGAAGTCCAAATAAGCACCTGCAGACTTTACAAACAGAGTGTTTCCAAACTGCTCTATGAAAAGAAAGGTTAAACTCTGTGAGTTGAACGCACACATCACAAACTAGTTTCTGCGAATGACTCTGTGTAGTTTTTATACGAAGCATATTTCCTTTTCTGCCATAGGCCTAGAAGCGCTTGTAATCTGCACTTGCAAATTCCAAAAACAGAGTGTTTCAAATCTGCTCTCTCTAAAGGAAGGTTCAAATCTGTGAGTTGAATACAAACAACACAAAGAAGTTACTGAGAATTCTTCTGTCTAGCGTTATATGAAGAAATCCCGTTTCCAACGAAGGCCTCAAAGAGGTCCAAATATCCACTTGCAGACTTTACAAATAGAGTGTTTCCAAACTGCTCTATGAAAAGAAAGGTTAAACTCCGTGAGTTGAAGGCACACATCACAAACTAGTTTCTGCGAATGACTCTGTGTACTTTTAATACGAAGATGTTTCCATGTCTAAGATTGGCGTGAATTCGCTTGAAATCTCCACTTGCAAATTCCACAAAAAGAGTGTTTCAAAACTGCTCTGAATAAAGGAAGGTTCCACTCTGTGAGTTGAATACACACAACACAAAGGATTTACTGAGAATTCTTCTGTCTAGCAGTAAATGAAAAAATCCCGCTTCCAACGAAGTCCTCAAAGGGGTCCAAGTAATCACTTGCAGACTTTACAGACAGAGTCTTTCCAAACTGCTCTATGAAAAGAAAGGTGGAACTCTGTGAGCTGAACGCACACATAACAAAGCAGTTTCTGACAATGATTCTGTATAGTTTTTACACGAAGATATTTCCATTTCAAAGATTAGCCTCAAATCCCTTGAAATCTCCACTTGCAAATTCCAGAGAAAGAAATTTTCAAAACTGCTTTGTCTAAAGGAAGGTTCAACTCTGTGACTTGAATAAACACAACACAAAGAAGTGACTGAGAATGCTTCTGTCTAGCATTATATGAAGAAATCCCGTTTCCAACGAAGGCCTCAATGAAGTCCAAAAAAGCACTTGCAGGCTTTACAAACAGAGTGTTTCCAAACTGCTCTATGAAAAGAAAGGTTAAACTCTGTGAGTTGAACGCACACATCACAAAGTAGTTGTTGAGAATGATTTTGTCTAGTTTTAATACGAAGATATATCCTTTTCTATCACTGTCTTCGAAGCGTTTGAAATCTGCACTAGCAAATTCCACAAACAGAGTGTTTCAACTCTGCTCTCTCTCAAGAAAGGTTCAACTCTGTGAGTTGAATACACACAACACAAAGAAGTTACTGAGAATTCTTCTGTCTAGCGTTATATGAAGAAATCCCGTTTCCAACGAAGGCCTCAAAGAGGTCCAAATATCCACTTGCAGACTTTACAAATAGAGTGTTTCCAAACTGCTCTATGAAAAGAAAGGTTAAACTCCGTGAGTTGAAGGCACACATCACAAACTAGTTTCTGCGAATGACTCTGTGTACTTTTAATATGAAGATATTTCCATGTCTAAGATTGGCGTCAAATCGCTTGAAATCTCCACTTGCAAATTTCACAAAAAGAGTGTTTCAAAACTGCTCTGAATAAAGGAAGGTTCCACTCTGTGAGTTGAATACACACAACACAAAGGATTTACTGAGAATTCTTCTGTCTAGCAGTAAATGAAAAAATCCCGCTTCCAACGAAGTCCTCAAAGGGGTCCAAGTAATCACTTGCAGACTTTACAGACAGAGTCTTTCCAAACTGCTCTATGAAAAGAAAGGTGGAACTCTGTGAGCTGAACGCACACATAACAAAGCAGTTTCTGACAATGATTCTGTGTAGTTTTTACACGAAGATATTTCCATTTCAAAGATTAGCCTCAAATCGCTTGAAATCTCCACTTGCAAATTCCACAGAAAGAGTTTTTCAAAACTGCTCTGTGTAAAGGAAGGTTCAACTCTGTGACTTGAATACACACAACACAAAGAAGTGACTGAGAATTCTTCTGTCTAGCATTATAAGAGGAAATCCCGTTTCCAACGAAGGGCTCCTAGAGGGACAATTATCCAGCTGCAGACTTACAAAGAGTGTATTTCCAAACTGCTCGATTAAAGAAAGGTTAAACTCTGTGAGTTGAACACACACATCACAAAGTGTTTTCTGAGAATGATTTTGTCTAGTTTTAATACGAAGATATATCCTTTTCTATCACTGTCTTCGAAGCGTTTGAAATCTGCACTAGCAAATTCCACAGAAAGAGTGTTTCAACTCTGCTCTCTCTCAAGAAAGGTTCAACTCTGTGAGTTGAATACACACAACACAAAGAAGTTACTGAGAATTCTTCTGTCTAGCGTTATATGAAGAAATCCCGTTTCCAACGAAGGCCTCAAAGAGGTCCAAATATCCACTTGCAGACTTTACAAATAGAGTGTTTCCCAACTGCTCTATGAAAAGAAAGGTTAAACTCTGTGAGTTGAAGGCACACATCACAAACTAGTTTCTACGAATGACTCTGTGTACTTTTAATACGAAGATGTTTCCATGTCTAAGATTGGCGTGAATTCGCTTGAAATCTCCACTTGCAATTTCCACAAAAAGAGTGTTTCAAAAGTGCTCTGAATAAAGGAAGGTTCCACTCTGTGAGTTGAATACACACAACACAAAGGATTTACTGAGAATTCTTCTGTCTAGCAGTAAATGAAAAAATCCCGCTTCCAACGAAGTCCTCAAAGGGGTCCAAGTAATCACTTGCAGACTTTACAGACAGAGTCTTTCCAAACTGCTCTATGAAAAGAAAGGTGGAACTCTGTGAGCTGAACGCACACATAACAAAGCAGTTTCTGACAATGATTCTGTGTAGTTTTTCACGAAGATATTTCCATTTCAAAGATTAGCCTCAAATCGCTTGAAATCTCCACTTGCAAATTCCACAGAAAGAATTTTTCAAAACTGCTCTGTCTAAAGGAAGGTTCAACTCTGTGACTTCAATACAAACAACACAAAGAAGTGACTGAGAATTCTTCTGTCTAGCATTATATGAAGAAATCCCGTTTCCAACGAAGGCCTCAATGAAGTCCAAAGAAGCACTTGCAGGCTTTACAAACAGAGTGTTTCCAAACTGCTCTATGAAAAGAAAGGTTAAACTCTGTGAGTTGAACGCACACATCACAAAGTAGTTGTTGAGAATGATTTCTGTGTAGTTTTTATACGAAGCATATTTCCTTTCCTGCCATAGGCCTAGAATCGCTTGAAATCTGCACTTGCAAATTCCAAAAACAGAGTGTTTCAACTCTGCTCTCTCTAAAGAAAGGTTCAACTCTGTGAGTTGAATACACACAACACAAAGAAGTTACTGAGAATTCTTCTGTCTAGCGTTATATGAAGAAATCCCGTTTCCAACGAAGGCCGCAAAGACGTCCAAATATCCACTTGCAGACTTTACAAATAGAGTGTTTCCAAACTGCTCTATGAAAAGAAAGGTTAAACTCTGTGAGTTGAAGGCACACATCACAAACTAGTTTCTGCGAATGACTCTGTGTACTTTTAATATGAAGATATCTCCATGTCTAAGATTGGCGTCAAATCGCTTGAAATCTCCACTTGCAAATTCCACAAAAAGACTGTTTCAAAACTGCTCTGAATAAAGGAAGGTTCCACTCTGTGAGTTGAATACACACAACACAAAGGATTTACTGAGAATTCTTCTGTCTAGCAGTAAATGAAAAAATCCCGCTTCCAACGAAGTCCTCAAAGGGGTCCAAGTAATCAATTGCAGACTTTACAGACAGAGTCTTTCCAAACTGCTCTATGAAAAGAAAGGTGGAACTCTGTGAGCTGAACGCACACATAACAAAGAAGTTTCTGAGAATGATTCTGTGTAGTTTTTACACGAAGATATTTCCATTTCAAAGATTAGCCTCAAATCGCTTGAAATCTCCACTTCAAATTCCACAGAAAGAGTTTTTCAAAACTGCTCTGTCTAAAGGAAGGCTGAACTCTGTGACTTGAATACACACAACACAAAGAAGTGACTGAGAATTCTTCTGTCTAGCATTATATGAAGAAATCCCGTTTCCAACGAGGGCCTCAAAGAAGTCCAAATAAGCACCTGCAGACTTTACAAACAGAGTGTTTCCAAACTGCTCTATGAAAAGAAAGGTTAAACTCTGTGAGTTGAACGCAGACATCACAAAGTAGTTGTTGAGAATGATTCTGTGTAGTTTTTATACGAAGATATTTCCTTTTCTGCCATAGGCCTAGAAGCGCTTGCAATCTGCACTTGCAAATTCCAAAAACAGAGTGTTTCAAATCTGCTCTCTCCAAAGGAAGGTTCAAATCTGTGAGTTGAATACAAACAACACAAAGAAGTTACTGAGAATTCTTCTGTCTAGCGTTATATGAAGAAATCCCGTTTCCAACGAAGGCCTCAAAGAGGTCCAAATATCCACTTGCAGACTTTACAAATAGAGTGTTTCCAAACTGCTCTATGAAAAGAAAGGTTAAACTCTGTGAGTTGAAGGCACACATCACAAACTAGTTTCTGCGAATGACTCTGTGTACTTTTAATATGAAGATATTTCCATGTCTAAGATTGGCGTCAAATCGCTTGAAATCTCCACTTGCAAATTCCACAAAAAGTGTTTTTCAAAACTGCTCTGAATAAAGGAAGGTTCCACTCTGTGAGTTGAATACACACAACACAAAGGATTTACTGAGAATTCTTCTGTCTAGCAGTAAATGAGAAATCCCGCTTCCAACGAAGGCCTCAAAGGGGTCTAACTAATCACTTGCAGACTTTACAGACAGAGTCTTTCCAAACTGCTCTATGAAGAGAAAGGTGAAACTCTGTGAACTGAACGCACAGATGACAAAGCAGTTTCTGAGAATGATTCTGTGTAGTTTTTACACGAAGATATTTCCATTTCAAAGATTAGCCTCAAATCTCTTAAAATCTCCAATTGCAAATTCCACAGAAAGAATTTTTCAAAACTGCTCTGTCTAAAAGAAGGTTCAACTCTGTGACTTGAATACACACAACACAAAGAAGTGACTGAGAATTCTTCTGTCTAGCATTATATGAAGAAATCCCGTTTCCAACGAAGGCCTCAATGAAGTCCAAAAAAGCACTTACAGGCTTTACAAACAGAGTGTTTCCAAACTGCTCTATGAAAAGAAAGGTTAAACTCTGTGAGTTGAACGCACACATCACAAAGTAGTTGTTGAGAATGATTCTGTGTAGTTTTTATACGAAGATATTTCCTTTTCTGCCATAGGCCTAGAAGCGCCTGAAATCTGCACTTGCAAATTCCAAAAACAGAGTGTTTCAAATCTGCTCTCTCTAAAGGAAGGTTCAAATCTGTGAGTTGAATACAAACAACACAAAGAAGTTACTGAGAATTCTTCTGTCTAGCGTTATATGAAGAAATCCCGTTTCCAACGAAGGCCTCAAAGAGGTCCAAATATCCACTTGCAGACTTTACAAATAGAGTGTTTCCGAACTGCTCTATGAAAAGAAAGGTTAAACTCTGTGAGTTGAAGGCACACATCACAAACTAGTTTCTACGAATGACTCTGTGTTCTTTTAATATGAAGATATTTCCATGTCTAAGATTGGCGTCAAATCGCTTGAAATCTCCACTTGCAAATTCCACAAAAAGAGTGTTTCAAAACTGCTCTGAATAAAGGAAGGTTCCACTCTGTGAGTTGAATACACACAACACAAAGGATTTACTGAGAATTCTTCTGTCTAGCAGTAAATGAAAAAATCCCGCTTCCAACGAAGTCCTCAAAGGGGTCCAAGTAATCACTTGCAGACTTTACAGACAGAGTCTTTCCAAACTGCTCTATGAAAAGAAAGGTGGAACTCTGTGAGCTGAACGCACACATAACAAAGAAGTTTCTGAGAATGATTCTGTGTAGTTTTTACACGAAGATATTTCCATTTCAAAGATTAGCCTCAAATCGCTTGAAATCTCCACTTGCAAATTCCACAGAAAGAGTTTTTCAAAACTGCTCTGTGTAAAGGAAGGTTCAACTCTGTGACTTGAATACACACAACACAAAGAAGTGACTGAGAATTCTTCTGTCTAGCATTATATGAGGAAATCCCGTTTCCAACGAAGGGCTCATAGAGGGACAATTATCCACCTGCAGACTTACAAAGAGTGTATTTCCAAACTGCTCGATTACAGAAAGGTTAAACTCTGTGAGTTGAACACACACATCACAAAGTGTTTTCTGAGAATGATTTTGTCTAGTTTTAATACGAAGATATATCCTTTTCTATCACTGTCTTCGAAGCGTTTGAAATCTGCACTAGCAAATTCCACAAACAGAGTGTTTCAACTCTGCTCTCTCTCAAGAAAGGTTCAACTCTGTGAGTGGAATACACACAACACAAAGAAGTTACTGAGAATTCTTCTGTCTAGCGTTATATGAAGAAATCCCGTTTCCAACGAAGGCCTCAAAGAGGTCCAAATATCCACTTGCAGACTTTACAAATAGAGTGTTTCCAAACTGCTCTATGAAAAGAAAGGTTAAACTCCGTGAGTTGAAGGCACACATCACAAACTAGTTTCTGCGAATGACTCTGTGTACTTTTAATACGAAGATGTTTCCATGTCTAAGATTGGCGTGAATTCGCTTGAAATCTCCACTTGCAAATTCCACAAAAAGAGTGTTTCAAAACTGCTCTGAATAAAGGAAGGTTCCACTCTGTGAGTTGAATACACACAACACAAAGGATTTACTGAGAATTCTTCTGTCTAGCAGTAAATGAAAAAATCCCGCTTCCAACGAAGTCCTCAAAGGGGTCCAAGTAATCACTTGCAGACTTTACAGACAGAGTCTTTCCAAACTGCTCTATGAAAAGAAAGGTGGAACTCTGTGAGCTGAACGCACACATAACAAAGCAGTTTCTGAGAATGATTCTGTGTAGTTTTTACACGAAGATATTTCCATTTCAAAGATTAGCCTCAAATCGCTTGAAATCTCCACTTGCAAATTCCACAGAAAGAGTTTTTCAAAACTGCTCTGTGTAAAGGAAGGTTCAACTCTGTGACTTGAATACACACAACACAAAGAAGTGACTGAGAATTCTTCTGTTTAGCATTATATGAAGAAATCCCGTTTCCAACGAAGGCCTCAAAGAAGTCCAAATAAGCACCTGCAGACTTTACAAACAGAGTGTTTCCAAACTGCTCTATGAAAAGAAAGGTTAAACTCTGTGAGTTGAACGCACACATCACAAAGTAGTTGTTGAGAATGATTCTGTGTAGTTTTTATACGAAGATATTTCCTTTTCTGCCATAGGCCTAGAAGCGCTTGTAATCTGCACTTGCAAATTCGAAAACAGAGTGTTTCAAATCTGCTCTCTCTAAAGGAAGGTTCAAATCTGTGAGTTGAATACAAACAACACAAAGAAGTTACTGTGAATTCTTCTGTCTAGCGTTATATGAAGAAATCCCGTTTCCAACGAAGGCCTCAAAGAGGTCCAAATATCCACTTGCAGACTTTACAAATAGAGTGTTTCCAAACTGCTCTATGAAAAGAAAGGTTAAACTCCGTGAGTTGAAGGCACACATCACAAACTAGTTTCTGCGAATGACTCTGTGTACTTTTAATATGAAGATATTTCCATGTCTAAGATTGGCGTCAAATCGCTTGAAATCTCCACTTGCAAATTCCACAAAAAGAGTGTTTCAAAACTGCTCTGAATAAAGGAAGGTTCCACTCTGTGAGTTGAATACACACAACACAAAGGATTTACTGAGAATTCTTCTGTCTAGCAGTAAATGAAAAAATCCCGCTTCCAACGAAGTCCTCAAAGGGGTCCAAGTAATCACTTGCAGACTTTACAGACAGAGTCTTTCCAAACTGCTCTATGAAAAGAAAGGTGGAACTCTGCGAGCTGAACGCACACATAACAAAGCAGTTTCTGAGAATGATTCTGTGTAGTTTTCACACGAAGATATTTCCATTTCAAAGATTAGCCTGAAATCCCTTGAAATCTCCACTTGCAAATTCCACAGAAAGAGTTCTTCAAAACTGCTCTGTGTAAAGGAAGGTTCAACTGTGTGACTTGAATACACACAACACAAAGAAGTGACTGAGAATTCTTCTGTCTAGCATTATATGAAGAAATCCCGTTTCCAACGAAGGCCTCAAAGAAGTCCAAATAAGCAGCTGCAGACTTTACAAACAGAGTGTTTCCAAACTGCTCTATGAAAAGAAAGGTTAAACTCTGTGAGTTGAACGCACACATCACAAAGTAGTTGTTGAGAATGATTCTGTGTAGTTTTTATACGAAGATATTTCCTTTTCTGCCATAGGCCTAGAAGCGCTTGTAATCTGCACTTGCAAATTCCAAAACCAGAGTGTTTCAAATCTGCTCTCTCTAAAGGAAGGTTCAAATCTGTGAGTTGAATACAAACAACACAAAGAAGTTACTGAGAATTCTTCTGTCTAGCGTTATATGAAGAAATCCCGTTTCCAACGAAGGCCTCAAAGAGGTCCAAATATCCACTTGCAGACTTTACAAATAGAGTGTTTCCCAACTGCTCTATGAAAAGAAAGGTTAAACTCTGTGAGTTGAAGGCACACATCACAAACTAGTTTCTACGAATGACTCTGTGTACTTTTAATACGAAGATGTTTCCATGTCTAAGATTGGCGTGAATTCGCTTGAAATCTCCACTTGCAAATTCCACAAAAAGAGTGTTTCAAAACTGCTCTGAATAAAGGAAGGTTCCACTCTGTGAGTTGAATACACACAACACAAAGGATTTACTGAGAATTCTTCTGTCTAGCAGTAAATGAAAAAATCCCGCTTCCAACGAAGTCCTCAAAGGGGTCCAAGTAATCACTTGCAGACTTTACAGACAGAGTCTTTCCAAACTGCTCTATGAAAAGAAAGGTGGAACTCTGTGAGCTGAACGCACACATAACAAAGCAGTTTCTGAGAATGATTCTGTGTAGTTTTTACACGAAGATATTTCCATTTCAAAGATTAGCCTCAAATCGCTTGAAATCTCCACTTGCAAATTCCACAGAAAGAGTTTTTCAAAACTGCTCTGTGTAAAGGAAGGTTCAACTCTGTGACTTGAATACACACAACACAAAGAAGTGACTGAGAATTCTTCTGTCTAGCATTATATGAAGAAATCCCGTTTCCAACGAAGGCCTCAAAGAAGTCCAAATAAGCACCTGCAGACTTTACAAACAGAGTGTTTCCAAACTGCTCTATGAAAAGAAAGGTTAAACTCTGTGAGTTGAACGCACACATCACAAAGTAGTTGTTGAGAATGATTCTGTGTAGTTTTTATACGAAGATATTTCCTTTTCTGCCATAGGCCTAGAATCGCTTGAAATCTGCACTTGCAAATTCCAAAAACAGAGTGTTTCAACTCTGCTCTCTCTAAAGAAAGGTTCAACTGCTGTGAGTTGAATACACACAACACAAAGAAGTTACTGAGAATTCTTCTGTCTAGCGTTATATGAAGAAATCCCGTTTCCAACGAAGGCCTCAAAGAGGTCCAAATATCCACTTGCAGACTTTACAAATAGAGTGTTTCCCAACTGCTCTATGAAAAGAAAGGTTAAACTCTGTGAGTTGAAGGCACACATCACAAACTAGTTTCTACGAATGACTCTGTGTACTTTTAATATGAAGATATTTCCATGTCTAAGATTGGCGTCAAATCGCTTGAAATCTCCACTTGCAAATTCCACAAAAAGAGTGTTTCAAAACTGCTCTGAATAAAGGAAGGTTCCACTCTGTGAGTTGAATACACACAACACAAAGGATTTACTGAGAATTCTTCTGTCTAGCAGTAAATGAAAAAATCCCGCTTCCAACGAAGTCCTCAAAGGGGTCCAAGTAATCACTTGCAGACTTTACAGACAGAGTCTTTCCAAACTGCTCTATGAAAAGAAAGGTGGAACTCTGTGAGCTGAACGCACACATAACAAAGCAGTTTCTGAGAATGATTCTGTGTAGTTTTTACACGAAGATATTTCCATTTCAAAGATTAGCCTCAAATCGCTTGAAATCTCCACTTGCAAACTCCACAGAAAGAATTTTTCAAAACTGCTCTGTCTAAAGGAAGGTTCAACTCTGTGACTTGAATACACACAACACAAAGAAGTGACTGAGAATTCTTCTGTCTAGCATTATAAGAGGAAATCCTGTTTCCAACGAAGGGCTCATAGAGGGACAATTATCCAGCTGCAGACTTACAAAGAGTGTATTTCCAAACTGCTCGATTAAAGAAAGGTTAAACTCTGTGAGTTGAACACACACATCACAAAGTGTTTTCTGAGAATGATTTTGTCTACTTTTAATACGAAGATATATCCTTTTCTATCACTGTCTTCGAAGCGTTTGAAATCTACACTAGCAAATTCCACAAAAAGAGTGTTTCACCTCTGCTCCCTCTAAAGAAAGGTTCAACTCTGTGAGTTGAATACACACAACACAAAGAAGTTACTGAGAATTCTTCTGTCTAGCGTTATATGAAGAAATCCCGTTTCCAACGAAGGCCTCAAAGAGGTCCAAATATCCACTTGCAGACTTTACAAATAGAGTGTTTCCAAACTGCTCTATGAAAAGAAAGGTTAAACTCTGTGAGTTGAAGGCACACATCACAAACAAGTTTCTGCGAATGACTCTGTGTACTTTTAATACGAAGATGTTTCCATGTCTAAGATTGGCGTGAATTCGCTTGAAATCTCCACTTGCAAATTCCACAAAAAGAGTGTTTCAAAACTGCTCTGAATAAAGGAAGGTTCCACTCTGTGAGTTGAATACACACAACACAAGGGATTTACTGAGAATTCTTCTGTCTAGCAGTAAATGAGAAATCCCGCTTCCAATGAAGGCCTCAAAGGGGTCTAACTAATCACTTGCGGACTTTACAGACAGAGTCTTTCCAATCTGCTCTATGAAGAGAAAGGTTAAACTCTGTGAACTGAACGCACAGATGACAAAGCAGTTTCTGAGAATGATTCTGTGTAGTTTTTACACGAAGATATTTCCATTTCAAAGATTAGCCTCAAATCGCTTGAAATCTCCACTTGCAAACTCCACAGAAAGAATTTTTCAAAACTGCTCTGTCTAAAAGAAGGTTCAACTCTGTGACTTGAATACACACAACACAAAGAAGTGACTGAGAATTCTTCTGTCTAGCATTATATGAAGAAATCCCGTTTCCAACGAAGGCCTCAATGAAGTCCAAAAAAGCACTTGCAGGCTTTACAAACAGAGTGTTTCCAAACTGCTCTATGAAAAGAAAGGTTAAACTCTGTGAGTTGAACGCACACATCACAAAGTAGTTGTTGAGAATGATTCTGTGTAGTTTTTATACGAAGATATTTCCTTTTCTGCCATAGGCCTAGAATCGCTTGAAATCTGCAGTTGCAAATTCCAAAAACAGAGTGTTTCAACTCTGCTCTCTCTAAAGAAAGGTTCAACTCTGTGAGTTGAATACACACAACACAAAGAAGTTACTGAGAATTCTTCTGTCTAGCGTTATATGAAGAAATCCCGTTTCCAACGAAGGCCTCAAAGAGGTCCAAATATCCACTTGCAGACTTTACAAATAGAGTGTTTCCAAACTGCTCTATGAAAAGAAAGGTTAAACTCCGTGAGTTGAAGGCACACATCACAAACTAGTTTCTGCGAATGACTCTGTGTACTTTTAATACGAAGATGTTTCCATGTCTAAGATTGGCGTGAATTCGCTTGAAATCTCCACTTGCAAATTCCACAAAAAGAGTGTTTCAAAACTGCTCTGAATAAAGGAAGGTTCCACTCTGTGAGTTGAATACACACAACAGAAAGGATTTACTGAGAATTCTTCTGTCTAGCAGTAAATGAAAAAATCCCGCTTCCAACGAAGTCCTCAAAGGGGTCCAAGTAATCACTTGCAGACTTTACAGACAGAGTCTTTCCAAACTGCTCTATGAAAAGAAAGGTGGAACTCTGTGAGCTGAACGCACACATAACAAAGCAGTTTCTGACAATGATTCTGTGTAGTTTTTACACGAAGATATTTCCATTTCAAAGATTAGCCTCAAATCGCTTGAAATCTCCACTTGCAAATTCCACAGAAAGAGTTTTTCAAAACTGCTCTGTGTAAAGGAAGGTTCAACTCTGTGACTTGAATACACACAACACAAAGAAGTGACTGAGAATTCTTCTGTCTAGCATTATATGAGGAAATCCCGTTTCCAACGAAGGGCTCAAAGAGGGACAAATATCCACCTGCAGACTTACAAAGAGTGTATTTCCAAACTGCTCGATTAAAGAAAGGTTAAACTCTGTGAGTTGAACACACACATCACAAAGAGTTTTCTGAGAATGATTCCGTGTAGTTTTTATACGAAGATATTTCCTTTTCTGCCATAGGCCTAGAAGCGCTTGAAATCTGCACTTGCAAATTCCAAGAACAGAGTGTTTCAAATCTGCTCTCTCTAAAGAACGTTCAAATCTGTGAGTTGAATACAAACAACACAAAGAAGTTACTGAGAATTCTTCTGTCTAGCATTATATGAGGAAATCCCGTTTCTAACGAAGGGCTCAAAGAGGGCCAATTGTCCACTTGCAGACTTACAAAGAGTGTATTTCCAAACTGCTCAATAAAAGAAAGGTTAAACTCTGTGAGTTGAACACACACATCACAAAGTGTTTTCTGAGAATGATTTTGTCTAGTTTTAATATGAAGTTATATCCTTTTCTATCATTGTCTTCGAAGCGTATGAAATCTGCACTAGCAAATTCCACAAATAGAGTGTTTCAAATCTGCTTTCTCTCAAGAAAGGTTCAACTCTGTGAGTTGAATACACACAACACAAAGAAGTTAGTGAGAATTCTTCTGTCTAGCGTTATATGAAGAAATCCCGTTTCCAACGAAGGCCTCAAAGAGGTCCAAATATCCACTTGCAGACTTTACAAATAGAGTGTTTCCAAACTGCTCTATGAAAAGAAAGGTTAAACTCCGTGAGTTGAAGGCACACATCACAAACTAGTTTCTGCGAATGACTCTGTGTACTTTTAATATGAAGATATTTCCATGTCTAAGATTGGCGTCAAATCGCTTGAAATCTCCACTTGCAAATTCCACAAAAAGAGTGTTTCAAAACTGCTCTGAATAAAGGAAGGTTCCACTCTGTGAGTTGAATAAACGCAACACAAATGATTTACTGAGAATTCTTCTGTCTAGCAGTAAATGAAAAAATCCCGCTTCCAACGAAGTCCTCAAAGGGGTCCAAGTAATCATTTGCAGACTTTACAGACGGAGTCTTTCCAAACTGCTCTATGAAAAGAAAGGTGGAACTCTGTGAGCTGAACGCACACATAACAAAGCAGTTTCTGAGAATGGTTCTGTGTAGTTTTTACACGAAGCTATTTCCATTTCAAAGATTAGCCTCAAATCGCTTGAAATCTCCACTTGCAAATTCCACAGAAAGAGTTTTTCAAAACTGCTCTGTGTAAAGGAAGGTTCAACTCTGTGACTTGAATACACACAACCCAAAGAAGGGACTGAGAATTCTTCTGTCTAGCATTACATGAAGAAATCCCGTTTCCAACGAAGGCCTCAAAGAAGTCCAAATAAGCACCTGCAGACTTTACAAACAGAGTGTTTCCAAACTGCTCTATGAAAAGAAAGGTTAAACTCTGTGAGTTGAACACACACATCACAAAGTAGTTGTTGAGAATGATTCTGTGTAGTTTTTATACGAAGATATTTCCTTTTCTGCCATAGGCCTAGAATCGCTTGAAATCTGCAGTTGCAAATTCCAAAAACAGAGTGTTTCAAATCTGCTCTCTCTAAAGGAAGGTTCAAATCTGTGTGTTGAATACAAACAACACAAAGAAGTTACTGAGAATTCTTCTGTCTAGCGTTATATGAAGAAATCCCGTTTCCAACGAAGGCCTCAAAGAGGTCCAAATATCCACTTGCAGACTTTACAAATAGAGTGTTTCCAAACTGCTCTATGAAAAGAAAGGTTAAACTCCGTGAGTTGAAGGCACACATCACAAACTAGTTTCTGCGAATGACTCTGTGTACTTTTAATACGAAGATGTTTCCATGTCTAAGATTGGCGTGAATTCGCTTGAAATCTCCACCTGCAAATTCCACAAAAAGAATGTTTCAAAACTGCTCTGAATAGAGGAAGGTTCCACTCTGTGAGTTGAATACACACAACACAAAGGATTTACTGAGAATTCTTCTGTCTAGCAGTAAATGAAAAAATCCCGCTTCCAACGAAGTCCTCAAAGGGGTCCAAGTAATCACTTGCAGACTTTACAGACAGAGTCTTTCCAAACTGCTCTATGAAAACAAAGGTGGAACTCTGTGAGCTGAACGCACACATAACAAAGCAGTTTCTGACAATGACTCTGTGTAGTTTTTACACGAAGATATTTCCATTTCAAAGACTAGCCTCAAATCGCTTGAAATCTCCACTTGCAAATTCCACAGAAAGAGTTTTTCAAAACTGCTCTGTGTAAAGGAAGGTTCAACTCTGTGACTTCAATACACACAACACAAAGAAGTGACTGAGAATTCTTCTGTCTAGCATTACATGAAGAAATCCCGTTTCCAACGAAGGCCTCAAAGAAGTCCAAATAAGCACCTGCAGACTTTACAAACAGAGTGTTTCCAAACTGCTCTATGAAAAGAAAGGTTAAACTGCTGTGAGTTGAACGCACACATCACAAAGTAGTTGTTGAGAATGATTCTGTGTAGTTTTTATACGAAGATATTTCCTTTTCTGCCATAGGCCTAGAAGCACTTGCAATCTGCTCTTGCAAATTCCAAAAACAGAGTGTTTCAAATCTGCTCTCTCCAAAGGAAGGTTCAAATCTGTGAGTTGAATACAAACAACACAAAGAAGTTACTGAGAATTCTTCTGTCTAGCGTTATATGAAGAAATCCCGTTTCCAACGAAGGCCTCAAAGAGGTCCAAATATCCACTTGCAGACTTTACAAATAGAGTGTTTCCAAACTGCTCTATGAAAAGAAAGGTTAAACTCCGTGAGTTGAAGGCACACATCACAAACTAGTTTCTGCGAATGACTCTGTGTACTTTTAATATGAAGATATTTCCATGTCTAAGATTGGCGTCAAATCGCTTGAAATCTCCACTTGCAAATTCCACAAAAAGAGTGTTTCAAAACTGCTCTGAATAAAGGAAGGTTCCACTCTGTGAGTTGAATACACACAACACAAAGGATTTACTGAGAATTCTTCTGTCTAGCAGTAAATGAAAAAATCCCGCTTCCAACGAAGTCCTCAAAGGGGTCCAAGTAATCACTTGCAGACTTTACAGACAGAGTCTTTCCAAACTGCTCTATGAAAAGAAAGGTGGAACTCTGTGAGCTGAACGCACACATAACAAAGCAGTTTCTGAGAATGATTCTGTGTAGTTTTTACACGAAGCTATTTCCATTTCAAAGATTAGCCTCAAATCGCTTGAAATCTCCACTTGCAAATTCCACAGAAAGAGTTTTTCAAAACTGCTCTGTGTAAAGGATGGTTCAACTCTGTGACTTGAATACACACAACACAAAGAAGTGACTGAGAATTCTTCTGTCTAGCATTATATGAAGAAATCCCGTTTCCAACGAAGGCCTCAAAGAAGTCCAAATAAGCACCTGCAGACTTTACAAACAGAGTGTTTCCAAACTGCTCTATGAAAAGAAAGGTTAAACTGCTGTGAGTTGAACGCACACATCACAAAGTAGTTGTTGAGAATGATTTCTGTGTAGTTTTTATACGAAGATTTTTCCTTTTCTGCCATAGGCCTAGAAGCGCTTGTAATCTGCACTTGCAAATTCCAAAAACAGAGTGTTTCAAATCTGCTCTCTCTAAAGGAAGGTTCAAATCTGTGAGTTGAATACAAACAACACAAAGAAGTTACTGAGAATTCTTCTGTCTAGCGTTATATGAAGAAATCCCGTTTCCAACGAAGGCCTCAAAGAGGTCCAAATATCCACTTGCAGACTTTACAAATAGAGTGTTTCCCAACTGCTCTATGAAAAGAAAGGTTAAACTCTGTGAGTTGAAGGCACACATCACAAACTAGTTTCTACGAATGACTCTGTGTACTTTTAATATGAAGATATTTCCATGTCTAAGATTGGCGTCAAATCGCTTGAAATCTCCACTTGCAAATTCCACAAAAAGAGTGTTTCAAAACTGCTCTGAATAAAGGAAGGTTCCACTCTGTGAGTTGAATAAACGCAACACAAATGATTTACTGAGAATTCTTCTGTCTAGCAGTAAATGAGAAATCCCGCTTCCAACGAAGGCCTCAAAGGGGTCTAACTAATCACTTGCAGACTTTACAGACAGAGTCTTTCCAAACTGCTCTATGAAGAGAAAGGTGAAACTCTGTGAACTGAACGCACAGATGACAAAGCAGTTTCTGAGAATGATTCTGTGTAGTTTTTACACGAAGATATTTCCATTTCAAAGATTAGCCTCAAATCGCTTGAAATCTCCACCTGCAAACTCCACAGAAAGAATTTTTCAAAACTGCTCTGTCTAAAGGAAGGTTCAACTCTGTGACTTGAATACACACAACACAAAGAAGTGACTGAGAATTCTTCTGTCTAGCATTACATGAAGAAATCCCATTTCCAACGAAGGCCTCAAAGAAGTCCAAATAAGCACCTGCAGACTTTACAAACAGAGTGTTTCCAAACTGCTCTATGAAAAGAAAGGTTAAACTCTGTGAGTTGAACGCACACATCACAAAGTAGTTGTTGAGAATGATTTTGTCTAGTTTTAATACGAAGATATATCCTTTTCTATCACTGTCTTCGAAGCGTTTGAAATCTGCACTAGCAAATTCCACAGAAAGAGTGTTTCAACTCTGCTCTCTCTCAAGAAAGGTTCAACTCTGTGAGTGGAATACACACAACACAAAGAAGTTACTGAGAATTCTTCTGTCTAGCGTTATATGAAGAAATCCCGTTTCCAACGAAGGCCTCAAAGAGGTCCAAATATCCACTTGCAGACTTTACAAATAGAGTGTTTCCAAACTGCTCTATGAAAAGAAAGGTTAAACTCCGTGAGTTGAAGGCACACATCACAAACTAGTTTCTGCGAATGACTCTGTGTACTTTTAATACGAAGATGTTTCCATGTCTAAGATTGGCGTGAATTCGCTTGAAATCTCCACTTGCAAATTCCACAAAAAGAGTGTTTCAAAACTGCTCTGAATAAAGGAAGGTTCCACTCTGTGAGTTGAATACACACAACACAAAGGATTTACTGAGAATTCTTCTGTCTAGCAGTAAATGAAAAAATCCCGCTTCCAACGAAGTCCTCAAAGGGGTCCAAGTAATCACTTGCAGACTTTACAGACAGAGTCTTTCCAAACTGCTCAATGAAAAGAAAGGTGGAACTCTGTGAGCTGAACGCACACATAACAAAGCAGTTTCTGAGAATGATTCTGTATAGTTTTTACACGAAGATATTTCCATTTCAAAGATTAGCCTCAAATCGCTTGAAATCTCCACTTGCAAACTCCACAGAAAGAATTTTTCAAAACTACTCTGTCTAAAGGAAGGTTCAACTCTGTGACTTGAATACACACATCACAAAGAAGTGACTGAGAATTCTTCTGTCTAGCATTATGTGAAGAAATCCCGTTTCCAACGAAGGCCTCAATGAAGTCCAAAAAAGCACTTGCAGGCTTTACAAACAGAGTGTTTCCAAACTGCTCTATGAAAAGAAAGGTTAAACTCTGGGAGTTGAACGCACACATCACAAAGTAGTTGTTGAGAATGATTTTGTCTAGTTTTAATACGAAGATATATCCTTTTCTATCACTGTCTTCGAAGCGTTTGAAATCTGCACTAGCAAATTCCACAAACAGAGTGTTTCAACTCTGCTCTCTCTCAAGAAAGGTTCAACTACTGTGAGTGGAATACACACAACACAAAGAAGTTACTGAGAATTCTTCTGTCTAGCGTTGTATGAAGAAATCCCGTTTCCAACGAAGGCCTCAAAGAGGTCCAAATATCCACTTGCAGACTTTACAAATAGAGTGTTTCCAAACTGCTCTATGAAAAGAAAGGTTAAACTCTGTGAGTTGAAGGCACACATCACAAACTAGTTTCTACGAATGACTCTGTGTACTTTTAATACGAAGATGTTTCCATGTCTAAGATTGGCGTGAATTCGCTTGAAATCTCCACTTGCAATTTCCACAAAAAGAGTGTTTCAAAACTGCTCTGAATAAAGGAAGGTTCCACTCTGTGAGTTGAATACACACAACACAAAGGATTTACTGAGAATTCTTCTGTCTAGCAGTAAATGAAAAAATCCCGCTTCCAACGAAGTCCTCAAAGGGGTCCAAGTAATCACTTGCAGACTTTACAGACAGAGTCTTTCCAAACTGCTCTATGAAAAGAAAGGTGGAACTCTGTGAGCTGAACGCACACATAACAAAGCAGTTTCTGAGAATGATTCTGTGTAGTTTTTACACGAAGATATTTCCATTTCAAAGATTAGCCTCAAATCGCTTGAAATCTCCACTTGCAAACTCCACAGAAAGAATTTTTCAAAACTGCTCTGTCTAAAGGAAGGTTCAACTCTGTGACTTGAATACACACAACACAAAGAAGTGACTGAGAATTCTTCTGTCTAGCATTATATGAAGAAATCCCGTTTCCAACGAAGGCCTCAAAGAAGTCCAAATAAGCACCTGCAGACTTTACAAACAGAGTGTTTCCAAACTGCTCTATGAAAAGAAAGGTTAAACTCTGTGAGTTGAACGCACACATCACAAAGTAGTTGTTGAGAATGATTCTGTGTAGTTTTTATACGAAGATATTTCCTTTTCTGCCATAGGCCTAGAAGCGCTTGAAATCTGCACTTGCAAATTCCAAAAACAGAGTGTTTCAACTCTGCTCTCTCTAAAGAAAGGTTCAACTCTGTGAGTTGAATACACACAACACAAAGAAGTTACTGAGAATTCTTCTGTCTAGCGTTATATGAAGAAATCCCGTTTCCAACGAAGGCCTCAAAGAGGTCCAAATATCCACTTGCAGACTTTACAAATAGAGTGTTTCCAAACTGCTCTATGAAAAGAAAGGTTAAACTCTGTGAGTTGAAGGCACACATCACAAACTAGTTTCTGCGAATGACTCTGTGTACTTTTAATACGAAGATGTTTCCATGTCTAAGATTGGCGTGAATTCGCTTGAAATCTCCACTTGCAAATTCCACAAAAAGAGTGTTTCAAAACCGCTCTGAATAAAGGAAGGTTCCACTCTGTGAGTTGAATACACACAAAACAAAGGATTTACTGAGAATTCTTCTGTCTAGCAGTAAATGAGAAATCCCGCTTCCAACGAAGGCCTCAAAGGGGTCTAACTAATCACTTGCAGACTTTACAGACAGAGTCTTTCCAAACTGCTCTATGAAGAGAAAGGTGAAACTCTGTGAACTGAACGCACAGATGACAAAGCAGTTTCTGAGAATGATTCTGTGTAGTTTTTACACGAAGATATTTCCATTTCAAAGATTAGCCTCAAATCGCTTGAAATCTCCACTTGCAAATTCCACAGAAAGAGTTTTTCAAAACTGCTCTGTGTAAAGGAAGGTTCAACTCTGTGACTTGAATACACACAACACAAAGAAGTGACTGAGAATTCTTCTGTCTAGCATTATATGAAGAAATCCCGTTTCCAACGAAGGCCTCAATGAAGTCCAAAAAAGCACTTGCAGGCTTTACAAACAGAGTGTTTCCAAACTGCTCTATGAAAAGAAAGGTTAAACTCTGTGAGTTGAACGCACACATCACAAAGTAGTTGTTGAGAATGATTTTGTCTAGTTTTAATACGAAGATATATCCTTTTCTATCACTGTCTTCGAAGCGTTTGAAATCTGCACTAGCAAATTCCACAAAAAGAGTGTTTCAACTCTGCTCTCTCTCAAGAAAGGTTCAACTCTGTGAGTTGAATACACACAACACAAAGAAGTTACTGAGAATTCTTCTGTCTAGCGTTATATGAAGAAATCCCGTTTCCAACGAAGGCCTCAAAGAGGTCCAAATATCCACTTGCAGACTTTACAAATAGAGTGTTTCCAAACTGCTCTATGAAAAGAAAGGTTAAACTCTGTGAGTTGAAGGCACACATCACAAACTAGTTTCTGCGAATGAGTCTGTGTACTTTTAATACGAAGATGTTTCCATGTCTAAGATTGGCGTGAATTCGCTTGAAATCTCCACTTGCAAATTCCACAAAAAGAGTGTTTCAAAACTGCTCTGAATAAAGGAAGGTTCCACTCTGTGAGTTGAATACACACAACACAAAGGATTTACTGAGAATTCTTCTGTCTAGCAGTAAATGAGAAATCCCGCTTCCAACGAAGGCCTCAAAGGGGTCTAACTAATCACTTGCAGACTTTACAGACAGAGTCTTTCCAAACTGCTCTATGAAGAGAAAGGTGAAACTCTGTGAACTGAACGCACAGATGACAAAGCAGTTTCTGAGAATGATTCTGTGTAGTTTTTACACGAAGATATTTCCATTTCAAAGATTAGCCTCAAATCGCTTGAAATCTCCACTTGCAAACTCCACAGAAAGAATTTTTCAAAACTGCTCTGTCTAAAGGAAGGTTCAACTCTGTGACTTGAATACACACAACACAAAGAAGTGACTGAGAATTCTTCTGTCTAGCATTATATGAGGAAATCCCGTTTCCAACGAAGGGCTCATAGAGGGACAATTATCCAGCTGCAGACTTACAAAGAGTGTATTTCCAAACTGCTCGATTAAAGAAAGGTTAAACTCTGTGAGTTGAACACACACATCACAAAGTGTTTTCTGAGAATGATTTTGTCTAGTTTTAATACGAAGATATATCCTTTTCTATCACTGTCTTCGAAGCGTTTGAAATCTGCACTAGCAAATTCCACAAACAGAGTGTTTCAACTCTGCTCTCTCTCAAGGAAGCTTCAACTCTGTGAGTGGAATACACACAACACAAAGAAGTTACTGAGAATTCTTCTGTCTAGCGTTATATGAAGAAATCCCGTTTCCAACGAAGGCCTCAAAGTAGGTCCAAATATCCACTTGCAGACTTTACAAATAGAGTGTTTCCAAACTGCTCTATGAAAAGAAAGGTTAAACTCCGTGAGTTGAAGGCACACATCACAAACTAGTTTCTGCGAATGACTCTGTGTACTTTTAATATGAAGATATTTCCATGTCTAAGATTGGCGTCAAATCGCTTGAAATCTCCACTTGCAAATTCCACAAGAAGAGTGTTTCAAAACTGCTCTGAATAAAGGAAGGTTCCACTCTGTGAGTTGAATACACACAACACAAAGGATTTACTGAGAATTCTTCTTTCTAGCAGTAAATGAGAAATCCCGCTTCCAACGAAGGCCTCAAAGGGGTCTAACTAATCACTTGCAGACTTTAGAGACAGAGTCTTTCCAAACTGCTCTATGAAGAGAAAGGTGAAACTCTGTGAACTGAACGCACAGATGACAAAGCAGTTTCTGAGAATGCTTCTGTGTAGTTTTTACACGAAGATATTTCCATTTCAAAGATTAGCCTCAAATCGCTTGAAATCTCCACTTGCAAATTACACAGAAAGAATTTTTCAAAACTGCTCTGTCTAAAGGAAGGTTCAACTCTGTGACTTGAATACACACAACACAAAGAAGTGACTGAGAATTCTTCTGTCTAGCATTATATGAAGAAATCCCGTTTCCAACGAAGGCCTCAATGAAGTCCAAAAAGGCACTTGCAGGCTTTACAAACAGAGTGTTTCCAAACTGCTCTATGAAAAGAAAGGTTAAACTCTGTGAGTTGAACGCACACATCACAAAGTAGTTGTTGAGAATGATTTTTGTCTAGTTTTAATACGAAGATATATCCTTTTCTATCACTGTCTTCGAAGCGTTTGAAATCTGCACTAGCAAATTCCACAAAAAGAGTCTTTCAACTCTGCTCTCTCTCAAGAAAGGTTCAACTCTGTGAGTGGAATACACACAACACAAAGAAGTTACTGAGAATTCTTCTGTCTAGCGTTATATGAAGAAATCCCGTTTCCAACGAAGGCCTCAAAGAGGTCCAAATATCCACTTGCAGACTTTACAAATAGAGTGTTTCCAAACTGCTCTATGAAAAGAAAGGTTAAACTCCGTGAGTTGAAGGCACACATCACAAACTAGTTTCTGCGAATGACTCTGTGTACTTTTAATACGAAGATGTTTCCATGTCTAAGATTGGCGTGAATTCGCTTGAAATCTCCACTTGCAAATTCCACAAAAAGAGTGTTTCAAAACTGCTCTGAATAAAGGAAGGTTCCACTCTGTGAGTTGAATACACACAACACAAAGGATTTACTGAGAATTCTTCTGTCTAGCAGTAAATGAGAAATCCCGCTTCCAACGAAGGCCTCAAAGGGGTCTAACTAATCACTTGCAGACTTTACAGACAGAGTCTTTCCAAACTGCTCTATGAAGAGAAAGGTGAAACTCTGTGAACTGAACGCACAGATGACAAAGCAGTTTCTGAGAATGATTCTGTGTAGTTTTTACACGAAGATATTTCCATTTCAAAGATTAGCCTCAAATCGCTTGAAATCTCCACTTGCAAACTCCACAGAAAGAATTTTTCAAAACTGCTCTGTCTAAAGGAAGGTTCAACTCTGTGACTTGAATACACACAACACAAAGAAGTGACTGAGAATTCTTCTGTCTAGCATTATATGAAGAAATCCCGTTTCCAACGAAGGCCTCAAAGAAGTCCAAATAAGCACCTGCAGACTTTACAAACAGAGTGTTTCCAAACTGCTCTATGAAAAGAAAGGTTAAACTCTGTGAGTTGAACGCACACATCACAAAGTAGTTGTTGAGAATGATTCTGTGTAGTTTTTATACGAAGATATTTAATTTTCTGCCATAGGCCTAGAAGCGCTTGCAATCTGCACTTGCAAATTCCAAAAACAGAGTGTTTCAAATCTGCTCTCTCCAAAGGAAGGTTCAAATCTGTGAGTTGAATACAAACAACACAAAGCAGTTACTGAGAATTCTTCTGTCTAGCGTTATATGAAGAAATCCCGTTTCCAACGAAGGCCTCAAAGAGGTCCAAATATCCACATGCAGACTTTACAAATAGAGTGTTTCCGAACTGCTCTATGAAAAGAAAGGTTAAGCTCTGTCAGTTGAAGGCACACATCACAAACTAGTTTCTACGAATGACTCTGTGTACTTTTAATATGAAGATATTTCCATGTCTAAGATTGACGTCAAATCGCTTGAAATCTCCACTTGCAAATTCCACAAAAAGTGTTTTTCAAAACTGCTCTGAATAAAGGAAGGTTCCACTTCTGTGAGTTGAATACACACAACACAAAGGATTTACTGAGAATTCTTCTGTCTAGCAGTAAATGAGAAATCCCGCTTCCAACGAAGGCCTCAAAGGGGTCTAACTAATCACTTGCAGACTTTACAGACAGAGTCTTTCCAAACTGCTCTATGAAGAGAAAGGTGAAACTCTGTGAACTGAACGCACAGATGACAAAGCAGTTTCTGAGAATGATTCTGTGTAGTTTTTACACGAAGATATTTCCATTTCAAAGATTAGCCTCAAATCGCTTGAAATCTCCACTTGCAAATTCCACAGGAAGAGTTTTTCAAAACTGCTCTGTGTAAAGGAAGGTTCAACTCTGTGACTTGAATACACACAACACAAAGAAGTGACTGAGAATTCTTCTGTCTAGCATTATAAGAGGAAATCCCGTTTCCAACGAAGGGCTCATAGAGGGACAATTATCCAGCTGCAGACTTACAAAGAGTGTATTTCCAAACTGCTCGATTAAAGAAAGGTTAAACTCTGTGAGTTGAACACACACATCACAAAGTGTTTTCTGAGAATGATTTTGTCTAGTTTTAATACGAAGATATATCCTTTTCTATCACAGTCTTCGAAGCGTTTGAAATCTGCACTAGCAAATTCCACAAAAAGAGTGTTTCAACTCTGCTCTCTCTAAAGAAAAGTTGAACTCTGTGAGTTGAATACACACAACACAAAGAAGTTACTGAAAATTCTTCTGTCTAGCGTTATATGAAGAAATCCCGTTTCCAACGATGGCCTCAAAGAGGTCCAAATATCCACTTGCAGCCTTTACAAATAGAGTGTTTCCGAACTGCTCTATGAAAAGAAAGGTTAAACTCTGTGAGTTGAAGGCACACATCACAACATAGTTTCTACGAATGACTCTGTGTACTTTTAATACGAAGATGTTTCCATGTCTAAGATTGGCGTGAATTCGCTTGAAATCTCCACTTGCAAATTCCACAAAAAGAGTGTTTCAAAACTGCTCTGAATAAAGGAAGGTTCCACTCTGTGAGTTGAATACACACAACACAAAGGATTTACTGAGAATTCTTCTGTCTAGCAGTAAATGAAAAAATCCCGCTTCCAACGAAGTCCTCAAAGGGGTCCAAGTAATCACTTGCAGACTTTACAGACAGAGTCTTTCCAAACTGCTCTATGAAAAGAAAGGTGGAACTCTGTGAGCTGAACGCACATAACAAAGCAGTTTCTGAGAATGATTCTGTGTAGTTTTTACACGAAGATATTTCCATTTCAAAGATTAGCCTCAAATCGCTTGAAATCTCCACTTGCAAATTCCACAGAAAGAGTTTTTCAAAACTGCTCTGTGTAAAGGAAGGTTCAGCTCTGTGACTTGAATACACACAACACAAAGAAGTGACTGAGAATTCTTCTGTCTAGCATTACATGAAGAAATCCCGTTTCCAACGAAGGCCTCAAAGAAGTCCAAATAAGCACCTGCAGACTTTACAAACAGAGTGTTTCCAAACTGCTCTATGAAAAGAAAGGTTAAACTCTGTGAGTTGAACGCACACATCACAAAGTAGTTGTTGAGAATGATTCTGTGTAGTTTTTATACGAAGATATTTCCTTTTCTGCCATAGGCCTAGAAGCGCTTGAAATCTGCACTTGCAAATTCCAAAAACAGAGTGTTTCAAATCTGCTCTCTCTAAAGGAAGGTTCAAATCTGTGTGTTGAATACAAACAACACAAAGAAGTTACTGAGAATTCTTCTGTCTAGCGTTATATGAAGAAATCCCGTTTCCAACGAAGGCCTCAAAGAGGTCCAAATATCCACTTGCAGACTTTACAAATAGAGTGTTTCCAAACTGCTCTATGAAAAGAAAGGTTAAACTCTGTGAGTTGAAGGCACACATCACAAACTAGTTTCTGCGAATGACTCTGTGTACTTTTAATATGAAGATATTTCCATGTCTAAGATTGGCGTCAAATCGCTTGAAATCTCCACTTGCAAATTCCACAAAAAGAGTGTTTCAAAACTGCTCTGAATAAAGGAAGGTTCCACTCTGTGAGTTGAATACACACAACACAAAGGATTTACTGAGAATTCTTCTGTCTAGCAGTAAATGAGAAATCCCACTTCCAACGAAGGCCTCAAAGGGGTCTAACTAATCACTTGCAGACTTTACAGACAGAGTCTTTCCAAACTGCTCTATGAAGAGAAAGGTGAAACTCTGTGAACTGAACGCACAGATGACAAAGCAGTTTCTGAGAATGATTCTGTGTAGTTTTTACACGAAGATATTTCCATTTCAAAGATTAGCCTCAAATCGCTTGAAATCTCCACTTGCAAATTCCACAGAAAGAATTTTTCAAAACTGCTCTGTCTAAAGGAAGGTTCAACTCTGTGACTTGAATACACACAACACAAAGAAGTGACTGAGAATTCTTCTGTCTAGCATTATATGAAGAAATCCCGTTTCCAACGAAGGCCTCAATGAAGTCCAAAAAAGCACTTGCAGGCTTTACAAACAGAGTGTTTCCAAACTGCTCTATGAAAAGAAAGGTTAAACTCTGTGAGTTGAACGCACACATCACAAAGTAGTTGTTGAGAATGATTCTGTGTAGTTTTTATACGAAGATATTTCCTTTTCTGCCATAGGCCTAGAATCGCTTGAAATCTGCACTTGCAAATTCCAAAAACAGAGGGTTTCAACTCTGCTCTCTCTAAAGAAAGGTTCAACTCTGTGAGTTGAATACACACAACACAAAGAATTTACTGAGAATTCTTCTGTCTAGCATTGTATGAAGAAATCCCGTTTCCAACGAAGGCCTCAATGAAGTCCAAAAAAGCACTTGCAGGCTTTACAAACAGAGTGTTTCCAAACTGCTCTATGAAAAGAAAGGTTAAACTCTGTGAGTTGAACGCACACATCACAAAGTAGTTGTTGAGAATGATTCTGTGTAGTTTTTATACGAAGATATTTCCTTTTCTGCCATAGGCCTAGAAGCGCTTGAAATCTGCCCTTGCAAATTCCAAAAACAGAGTGTTTCAAATCTGCTCTCTCTAAAGGAAGGTTCAAATCTGTGTGTTGAATACAAACAACACAAAGAAGTTACTGAGAATTCTTCTGTCTAGCGTTGTATGAAGAAATCCCTTTTCGAACGAAGGCCTCAAAGAGGTCCAAATATCCACTTGCAGACTTTACAAATAGAGTGTTTCCAAACTACTCTATGAAAAGAAAGGTTAAACTCTGTGAGTTGAAGGCACACATCACAAACTAGTTTCTACGAATGACTCTGTGTACTTTTAATATGAAGATATTTCCATGTCTAAGATTGGCGTCAAATCGCTTGAAATCTCCACTTGCAAATTCCACAAAAAGAGTGTTTCAAAACTGCTCTGAATAAAGGAAGGTTCCACTCTGTGAGTTGAATACACACAACACAAAGGATTTACTGAGAATTCTTCTGTCTAGCAGTAAATGAAAAAATCCCGCTTCCAACGAAGTCCTCAAAGGGGTCCAAGTAATCACTTGCAGACTTTACAGACAGAGTCTTTCCAAACTGCTCTATGAAAAGAAAGGTGGAACTCTGTGAGCTGAACGCACACATAACAAAGCAGTTTCTGACAATGATTCTGTGTAGTTTTTACACGAAGATATTTCCATTTCAAAGATTAGCCTCAAATCGCTTGAAATCTCCACTTGCAAATTCCACAGAAAGAATTTTTCAAAACTGCTCTGTCTAAAGGAAGGTTCAACTCTGTGACTTGAATACACACAACACAAAGAAGTGACTGAGAATTCTTCTGTCTAGCATTATATGAAGAAATCCCGTTTCCAACGAAGGCCTCAATGAAGTCCAAAAAAGCACTTGCAGGCTTTACAAACAGAGTGTTTCCAAACTGCTCTATGAAAAGAAAGGTTAAACTCTGTGAGTTGAACGCACACATCACAAAGTAGTTGTTGAGAATGATTTTGTCTAGTTTTAATACGAAGATATATCCTTTTCTATCACTGTCTTCGAAGCGTTTGAAATCTGCACTAGCAAATTCCACAAACAGAGTGTTTCAACTCTGCTCTCTCTCAAGAAAGGTTCAACTCTGTGAGTGGAATACACACAACACAAAGAAGTTACTGAGAATTCTTCTGTCTAGGGTTATATGAAGAAATCCCGTTTCCAAAGAATGCCTCAAAGAGGTCCAAATATCCACTTGCAGACTTTACAAATAGAGTGTTTCCCAACTGCTCTATGAAAAGAAAGGTTAAACTCTGTGAGTTGAAGGCACACATCACAAACTAGTTTCTACGAATGACTCTGTGTACTTTTAATACGAAGATGTTTCCATGTCTAAGATTGGCGTGAATTCGCTTGAAATCTCCACTTGCAAATTCCACAAAAAGAGTGTTTCAAAAGTGCTCTGAATAAAGGAAGGTTCCACTCTGTGAGTTGAATACACACAACACAAAGGATTTACTGAGAATTCTTCTGTCTAGCAGTGAATGAGAAATCCCGCTTCCAACGAAGCCCTCAAAGGGGTCTAACTAATCACTTGCAGACTTAACAGACAGAGTCTTTCCAAACTGCTCTATGAAGAGAAAGGTGAAACTCTGTGAACTGAACGCACAGATGACAAAGCAGTTTCTGAGAATGATTCTGTGTAGTTTTTACACGAAGATATTTCCATTTCAAAGATTAGCCTCAAATCGCTTGAAATCTCCACTTGCAAACTCCACAGAAAGAATTTTTCAAAACTGCTCTGTCTAAAGGAAGGTTCAACTCTGTGACTTGAATACACACAACACAAAGAAGTGACTGAGAATTCTTCTGTCTAGCATTATATGAAGAAATCCCGTTTCCAACGAAGGCCTCAAAGAAGTCCAAATAAGCACCTGCAGACTTTACAAACAGAGTGTTTCCAAACTGCTCTATGAAAAGAAAGGTTAAACTCTGTGAGTTGAACGCACACATCACAAAGTAGTTGTTGAGAATGATTTTGTCTAGTTTTAATACGAAGATATATCCTTTTCTATCACTGTCTTCGAAGCGTTTGAAATCTGCACTAGCAAATTCCACAAACAGAGTGTTTCAACTCTGCTCTCTCTCAAGAAAGGTTCAACTCTGTGAGTGGAATACACACAACACAAAGAAGTTACTGAGAATTCTTCTGTCTAGCATTATATGAGGAAATCCCGTTTCCAACGAAGGCCTCAAAGAGGTCCAAATATCCACTTGCAGACTTTACAAATAGAGTGTTTCCAAACTGCTCTATGAAAAGAAAGGTTAAACTCTGTGAGTTGAAGGCACACATCACAAACTAGTTTCTACGAATGACTCTGTGTACTTTTAATACGAAGATGTTTCCATGTCTAAGATGGGCGTGAATTCGCTTGAAATCTCCACTTGCAAATTCCACAAAAAGAGTGTTTCAAAACTGCTCTGAATAAAGGAAGGTTCCACTCTGTGAGTTGAATACACACAACACAAAGGATTTACTGAGAATTCTTCTGTCTAGCAGTAAATGAAAAAATCCCGCTTCCAACGAAGTCCTCAAAGGGGTCCAAGTAATCACTTGCAGACTTTACAGACAGAGTCTTTCCAAACTGCTCTATGAAAAGAAAGGTGGAACTCTGTGAAATGAACGCACACATAACAAAGAAGTTTCTGAGAATGATTCTGTGTAGTTTTTACACGAAGCTATTTCCATTTCAAAGATTAGCCTCAAATCGCTTGAAATCTCCACTTGCAAATTCCACAGAAAGAGTTTTTCAAAACTGCACTGTGTAAAGGAAGGTTCAACTCTGTGACTTGAATACACACAACACAAAGAAGTGACTGAGAATTCTTCTGTCTAGCATTACATGAAGAAATCCCGTTTCCAACGAAGGCCTCAAAGAAGTCCAAATAAGCACCTGCAGACTTTACAAACAGAGTGTTTCCAAACTGCTCTATGAAAAGAAAGGTTAAACTCTGTGAGTTGAACGCACACATCACAAAGTAGTTGTTGAGAATGATTTTGTCTACTTTTAATACGAAGATATATCCTTTTCTATCACTGTCTTCGAAGCGTTTGAAATCTACACTAGCAAATTCCACAAAAAGAGTGTTTCACCTCTGCTCCCTCTAAAGAAAGGTTCAACTCTGTGAGTTGAATACACACAACACAAAGAAGTTACTGAGAATTCTTCTGTCTAGCGTTATATGAAGAAATCCCGTTTCCAACGAAGGCCTCAAAGAGGTCCAAATATCCACTTGCAGACTTTACAAATAGAGTGTTTCCCAACTGCTCTATGAAAAGAAAGGTTAAACTCTGTGAGTTGAAGGCACACATCACAAACTAGTTTCTACGAATGACTCTGTGTACTTTTAATATGAAGATATTTCCATGTCTAAGATTGGCGTCAAATCGCTTGAAATCTCCACTTGCAAATTCCACAAAAAGTGTTTTTCAAAACTGCTCTGAATAAAGGAAGGTTCCACTCTGTGAGTTGAATACACACAACACAAAGGATTTACTGAGAATTCTTCTGTCTAGCAGTAAATGAAAAAATCCCGCTTCCAACGAAGTCCTCAAAGGGGTCCAAGTAATCACTTGCAGACTTTACAGACAGAGTCTTTCCAAACTGCTCTATGAAAAGAAAGGTGGAACTCTGTGAGCTGAACGCACACATAACAAAGCAGTTTCTGAGAATGATTCTGTGTAGTTTTTACACGAAGCTATTTCCATTTCAAAGATTAGCCTCAAATCGCTTGAAATCTCCACTTGCAAATTCCACAGAAAGAGTTTTTCAAAACTGCTCTGTGTAAAGGAAGGTTCAACTCTGTGACTTGAATACACACAACACAAAGAAGTGACTGAGAATTCTTCTGTCTAGCATTATAAGAGGAAATCCCGTTTCCAACGAAGGGCTCATAGAGGGACAATTATCCAGCTGCAGACTTACAAAGAGTGTATTTCCAAACTGCTCGATTAAAGAAAGGTTAAACTCTGTGAGTTGAACACACACATCACAAAGTGTTTTCTGAGAATGATTTTGTCTAGTTTTAATACGAAGATATATCCTTTTCTATCACTGTCTTCGAAGCGTTTGAAATCTGCACTAGCAAATTCCACAAACAGAGTGTTTCAACTCTGCTCTCTCTCAAGAAAGGTTCAACTACTGTGAGTGGAATACACACAACACAAAGAAGTTACTGAGAATTCTTCTGTCTAGCGTTATATGAAGAAATCCCGTTTCCAACGAAGGCCTCAAAGAGGTCCAAATATCCACTTGCAGACTTTACAAATAGAGTGTTTCCAAACTGCTCTATGAAAAGAAAGGTTAAACTCCGTGAGTTGAAGGCACACATCACAAACTAGTTTCTGCAAATGACTCTGTGTACTTTTAATATGAAGATATTTCCATGTCTAAGATTGGCGTCAAATCGCTTGAAATCTCCACTTGCAAATTCCACAAAAAGAGTGTTTCAAAACTGCTCTGAATAAAGGAAGGTTCCACTCTGTGAGTTGAATACACACAACACAAAGGATTTACTGAGAATTCTTCTGTCTAGCAGTAAATGGGAAATCCCGCTTCCAACGAAGGCCTCAAAGGGGTCTAACTAATCACTTGCGGACTTTACAGACAGAGTCTTTCCAAACTGCTCTCTGAAGAGAAAGGTTAAACTCTGTGAACTGAACGCACATATAACAAAGCAGTTTCTGAGAATGATTTCTGTATAGTTTTTACACGAAGGATATTTCCATTTCAAAGATTAGCCTCAAATCGCTTGAAATCTCCACTTGCAAACTCCACAGAAAGAATTTTTCAAAACTACTCTGTCTAAAGGAAGGTTCAACTCTGTGACTTGAATACACACAACACAAAGAAGTGACTGAGAATTCTTCTGTCTAGCATTATATGAAGAAATCCCGTTTCCAACGAAGGCCTCAAAGAAGTCCAAATAAGCACCTGCAGACTTTACAAACAGAGTGTTTCCAAACTGCTCTATGAAAAGAAAGGTTAAGCTCTGTGAGGTGAACGCACACATCAAAAAGTAGTTGTTGAGAATGATTCTGTGTAGTTTTTATACGAAGATATTTCCTTTTCTGCCATAGGCCTAGAAGCGCTTGTAATCTGCACTTGCAAATTCCAAAAACAGAGTGTTTCAAATCTGCTCTCTCTAAAGGAAGGTTCAAATCTGTGAGTTGAATACAAACAACACAAAGAAGTTACTGAGAATTCTTCTGTCTAGCGTTATATGAAGAAATCCCGTTTCCAACGAAGGCCTCAAAGAGGTCCAAATATCCACTTGCAGACTTTACAAATAGAGTGTTTCCAAACTGCTCTATGAAAAGAAAGGTTAAACTCCGTGAGTTGAAGGCACACATCACAAACTAGTTTCTGCGAATGACTCTGTGTACTTTTAATATGAAGATATTTCCATGTCTAAGATTGGCGTCAAATCGCTTGAAATCTCCACTTGCAAATTCCACAAAAAGAGTGTTTCAAAACTGCTCTGAATAAAGGAAGGTTCCACTCTGTGAGTTGAATACACACAACACAAAGGATTTACTGAGAATTCTTCTGTCTAGCAGTAAATGAAAAAATCCCGCTTCCAATGAAGTCCTCAAAGGGGTCCAAGTAATCACTTGCAGACTTTACAGAGTCTTTCCAAACTGCTCTATGAAAAGAAAGGTGGAACTCTGTGAGCTGAACGCACACATAACAAAGCAGTTTCTGACAATGATTCTGTGTAGTTTTTACACGAAGATATTTCCATTTCAAAGATTAGCCTCAAATCGCTTGAAATCTCCACTTGCAAATTACACAGAAAGAATTTTTCAAAACTGCTCTGTCTAAAGGAAGGTTCAACTCTGTGAGTTGAATACACACAACACAAAGAAGTTACTGAGAATTCTTCTGTCTAGCATTATATGAAGAAATCCCGTTTCCAACGAAGGCTTCAAAGAAGTCCAAATAAGCACCTGCAGACTTTACAAACAGAGTGTTTCCAAACTGCTCTATGAAAAGAAAGGTTAAACTCTGTGAGTTGAACGCACACATCACAAAGTAGTTGTTGAGAATGATTTTGTCTAGTTTTAATACGAAGATATATCCTTTTCTATCACTGTCTTCGAAGCGTTTGAAATCTGCACTAGCAAATTCCACAAACAGAGTGTTTCAACTCTGCTCTCTCTCAAGAAAAGGTTCAACTCTGTGAGTGGAATACACACAACACAAAGAAGTTACTGAGAATTCTTCTGTCTAGCGTTATATGAAGAAATCCCGTTTCCAACGAAGGCCTCAAAGAGGTCCAAATATCCACTTGCAGACTTTACAAATAGAGTGTTTCCAAACTGCTCTATGAAAAGAAAGGTTAAACTCCGTGAGTTGAAGGCACACATCACAAACTAGTTTCTGCGAATGACTCTGTGTACTTTTAATACGAAGATGTTTCCATGTCTAAGATTGGCGTGAATTCGCTTGAAATCTCCACTTGCAAATTCCACAAAAAGAGTGTTTCAAAACTGCTCTGAATAAAGGAAGGTTCCACTCTGTGAGTTGAATACACACAATACAAAGGATTTACTGAGAATTCTTCTGTCTAGCAGTAAATGAAAAAATCCCGCTTCCAACGAAGTCCTCAAAGGGGTCCAAGTAATCACTTGCAGACTTTACAGACAGAGTCTTTCCAAACTGCTCTATGAAAAGAAAGGTGGAACTCTGCGAGCTGAACGCACACATAACAAAGCAGTTTCTGAGAATGATTCTGTGTAGTTTTTACACGAAGATATTTCCATTTCAAAGATTAGCCTCAAATCGCTTGAAATCTCCACTTGCAAACTCCACAGAAAGAATTTTTCAAAACTGCTCTGTCTAAAGGAAGGTTCAACTCTGTGACTTGAATACACACAACACAAAGAAGTGACTGAGAATTCTACTGTCTAGCATTATATGAAGAAATCCCATTTCCAACGAAAGCCTCAAAGAAGTCCAAATAAGCACCTGCAGACTTTACAAACAGAGTGTTTCCAAACTGCTCTATGAAAAGAAAGGTTAAACTCTGTGAGTTGAACGCACACATCACAAAGTAGTTGTTGAGAATGATTCTGTGTAGTTTTTATACGAAGATATTTCCTTTTCTGCCATAGGCCTAGAAGCGCTTGAAATCTGCACTTGCAAATTCCAAAAACAGAGTGTTTCAAATCTGCTCTCTCTAAAGGAAGGTTCAAATCCTGTGTGTTGAATACAAACAACACAAAGAAGTTACTGAGAATTCTTCTGTCTAGCGTTATATGAAGAAATCCCGTTTCCAACGAAGGCCTCAAAGAGGTCCAAATATCCACTTGCAGACTTTACAAATAGAGTGTTTCCAAACTGCTCTATGAAAAGAAAGGTTAAACTCCGTGAGTTGAAGGCACACATCACAAACTAGTTTCTGCAAATGACTCTGTGTACTTTTAATATGAAGATATTTCCATGTCTAAGATTGGCGTCAAATCGCTTGAAATCTCCACTTGCAAATTCCACAAAAAGTGTTTTTCAAAACTGCTCTGAATAAAGGAAGGTTCCACTCTGTGAGTTGAATACACACAACACAAAGGATTTACTGAGAATTCTTCTGTCTAGCAGTAAATGAAAAAATCCCGCTTCCAACGAAGTCCTCAAAGGGGTCCAAGTAATCACTTGCAGACTTTACAGACAGAGTCTTTCCAAACTGCTCTATGAAAAGAAAGGTGGAACTCTGTGAGCTGAACGCACACATAACAAAGCAGTTTCTGACAATGATTCTGTGTAGTTTTTACACGAAGATATTTCCATTTCAAAGATTAGCCTCAAATCGCTTGAAATCTCCACTTGCAAATTCCACAGAAAGAGTTTTTCAAAACTGCTCTGTGTAAAGGAAGGTTCAACTCTGTGACTTGAATACACACAACACAAAGAAGTGACTGAGAATTCTTCTGTCTAGCATTATATGAAGAAATCCCGTTTCCAACGAAGGCCTCAAAGAAGTCCAAATAAGCACCTGCAGACTTTACAAGCAGAGTGTTTCTAAACTGCTCTAAGAAAAGAAAGGTTAAACTCTGTGAGTTGAAGGCACACATCACAAAGTAGTTTCTGAGAATGATTTTGTCTAGTTTTAATACGAAGATATATCCTTTTCTATCACTGTCTTCGAAGCGTTTGAAATCTGCACTAGCAAATTCCACAGAAAGAGTGTTTCAACTCTGCTCTCTCTCAAGAAAGGTTCAACTCTGTGAGTGGAATACACACAACACAAAGAAGTTACTGAGAATTCTTCTGTCTAGCGTTGTATGAAGAAATCCCGTTTCCAACGAAGGCCTCAAAGAGGTCCAAATATCCACTTGCAGACTTTACAAATAGAGTGTTTCCAAACTGCTCTATGAAAAGAAAGGTTAAACTCTGTGAGTTGAAGGCACACATCACAAACTAGTTTCTACGAATGACTCTGTGTACTTTTAATACGAAGATGTTTCCATGTCTAAGATTGGCGTGAATTCGCTTGAAATCTCCACTTGCAAATTCCACAAAAAGAGTGTTTCAAAACTGCTCTGAATAAAGGAAGGTTCCACTCTGTGAGTTGAATACACACAACACAAAGGATTTACTGAGAATTCTTCTGTCTAGCAGTAAATGAAAAAATCCTGCTTCCAACGAAGTCCTCAAAGGGGTCCAAGTAATCACTTGCAGACTTTACAGACAGAGTCTTTCCAAACTGCTCTATGAAAAGAAAGGTGGAACTCTGTGAGCTGAACGCACACATAACAAAGCAGTTTCTGAGAATGATTTCTGTGTAGTTTTTACACGAAGCTATTTCCATTCCAAAGATTAGCCTCAAATCGCTTGAAATCTCCACTTGCAAATTCCACAGAAAGAGTTTTTCAAAACTGCTCTGTGTAAAGGAAGGTTCAACTCTGTGACTTGAATACACACAACACAAAGAAGTGACTGAGAATTCTTCTGTCTAGCATTACATGAAGAAATCCCGTTTCCAACGAAGGCCTCAATGAAGTCCAAAAAAGCACTTGCAGGCTTTACAAACAGAGTGTTTCCAAACTGCTCTATGAAAAGAAAGGTTAAACTCTGTGAGTTGAACGCACACATCACAAAGTCGTTGTTGAGAATGATTCTGTGTAGTTTTTATACGAAGATATTTCCTTTTCTGCCATAGGCCTAGAATCGCTTGAAATCTGCACTTGCAAATTCCAAAAACAGAGTGTTTCAACTCTGCTCTCTCTAAAGAAAGCTTCAACTCTGTGAGTTGAATACACACAACACAAAGAAGTTACTGAGAATTCTTCTGTCTAGCGTTGTATGAAGAAATCCCGTTTCCAACGAAGGCCTAAAAGAGGTCCAGATATCCAGTTGCAGACTTTACAAATAGAGTGTTTCCAAACTGCTCTATGAAAAGAAAGGTTAAACTCTGTGAGTTGAAGGCACACATCACAAACTAGTTTCTACGAATGACTCTGTGTACTTTTAATACGAAGATGTTTCCATGTCTAAGATTGGCGTGAATTCCCTTGAAATCTCCACTTGCAAATTCCACCAAAAGAGTGTTTCAAAACTGCTCTGAATAAAGGAAGGTTCCACTCTGTGAGTTGAATACACACAACACAAAGGATTTACTGAGAATTCTTCTGTCTAGCAGTAAATGAAAAAATCCCGCTTCCAACGAAGTCCTCAAAGGGGTCCAAGTAATCACTTGCAGACTTTACAGACAGAGTCTTTCCAAACTGCTCTATGAAAAGAAAGGTGGAACTCTGTGAGCTGAACGCACACATAACAAAGCAGTTTCTGAGAATGATTCTGTGTAGTTTTTACACGAAGCTATTTCCATTTCAAAGATTAGCCTCAAATCGCTTGAAATCTCCACTTGCAAATTCCACAGAAAGAGTTTTTCAAAACTGCTCTGTGTAAAGGATGGTTCAACTCTGTGACTTGAATACACACAACACAAAGAAGTGACTGAGAATTCTTCTGTCTAGCGTTGTATGAAGAAATCCCGTTTCCAACGAAGGCCTCAATGAAGTCCAAAAAAGCACTTGCAGGCTTTACAAACAGAGTGTTTCCAAACTGCTATATGAAAAGAAAGGTTAAACTCTGTGAGTTGAACGCACACATCACAAAGTAGTTGTTGAGAATGATTCTGTGTAGTTTTTATACGAAGATATTTCCTTTTCTGCCATAGGCCTAGAAGCGCTTGAAATCTGCACTTGCAAATTCCAAAAACAGAGTGTTTCAAATCTGCTCTCTCTAAAGGAAGGTTCAAATCTGTGAGTTGAATACAAACAACACAAAGAAGTTACTGAGAATTCTTCTGTCTAGCGTTGTATGAAGAAATCCCGTTTCCAACGAAGGCCTCAAAGAGGTCAAAATATCCACTTGCAGACTTTACAAATAGAGTGTTTCCAAACTGCTCTATGAAAACAAAGGTTAAACTCTGTGAGTTGAAGGCACACATCACAAACTAGTTTCTACGAATGACTCTGTGTACTTTTAATATGAAGATATTTCCATGTCTAAGATTGGCGTCAAATCGCTTGAAATCTCCACTTGCAAATTCCACAAAAAGTGTTTTTCAAAACTGCTCTGAATAAAGGAAGGTTCCACTCTGTGAGTTGAATACACACAACACAAAGGATTTACTGAGAATTCTTCTGTCTAGCAGTAAATGAGAAATCCCACTTCCAACGAAGGCCTCAAAGGGGTCTAACTAATCACTTGCAGACTTTACAGACAGAGTCTTTCCAAACTGCTCTATGAAGAGAAAGGTGAAACTCTGTGAACTGAACGCACAGATGACAAAGCAGTTTCTGAGAATGATTCTGTGTAGTTTTTACACGAAGATATTTCCATTTCAAAGATTAGCCTCAAATCGCTTGAAATCTCCACTTGCAAATTCCACAGAAAGAGTTTTTCAAAACTGCTCTGTGTAAAGGAAGGTTCAACTCTGTGACTTGAATACACACAACACAAAGAAGTGACTGAGAATTCTTGTGTCTAGCATTATATGAAGAAATCCCGTTTCCAACGAAGGCCTCAAAGAAGTCCAAATAAGCACCTGCAGACTTTACAAACAGAGTGTTTCCAAACTGCTCTATGAAAAGAAAGGTTAAACTTTGTGAGTTGAACGCACACATCACAAAATAGTTGTTGAGAATGATTCTGTGTAGTTTTTATACGAAGATATTTCCTTTTCTGCCATAGGCCTAGAAGCGCTTGCAATCTGCACTTGCAAATTCCAAAAACAGAGTGTTTCAAATCTGCTCTCTCCAAAGGAATGTTCAAATCTGTGAGTTCAATACAAACAACACAAAGAAGTTACTGAGAATTCTTCTGTCTAGCGTTATATGAAGAAATCCCGTTTCCAACGAAGGCCTCAAAGAGGTCCAAATATCCACTTGCAGACTTTACAAATAGAGTGTTTCCAAACTGCTCTATGAAAAGAAAGGTTAAACTCCGTGAGTTGAAGGCACACATCACAAACTAGTTTCTGCGAATGACTCTGTGTACTTTTAATACGAAGATGTTTCCATGTCTAAGATTGGCGTGAATTCGCTTGAAATCTCCACTTGCAAATTCCACAAAAAGAGTGTTTCAAAACTGCTCTGAATAAAGGAAGGTTCCACTCTGTGAGTTGAATACACACAACACAAAGGATTTACTGAGAATTCTTCTGTCTAGCAGTAAATGAGAAATCCCGCTTCCAACGAAGGCCTCAAAGGGGTCTAACTAATCACTTGCAGACTTTACAGACAGAGTCTTTCCAAACTGCTCTATGAAGAGAAAGGTGAAACTCTGTGAACTGAACGCACAGATGACAAAGCAGTTTCTGAGAATGATTCTGTGTAGTTTTTACACGAAGCTATTTCCATTTCAAAGATTAGCCTCAAATCGCTTGAAATCTCCACTTGCAAATTCCACAGAAAGAGTTTTTCAAAACTGCTCTGTGTAAAGGAAGGTTCAACTCTGTGACTTGAATACACACAACACAAAGAAGTGACTGAGAATTCTTCTGTCTAGCATTACATGAAGAAATCCCGTTTCCAACGAAGGCCTCAAAGAAGTCCAAATAAGCACCTGCAGACTTTACAAACAGAGTGTTTCCAAACTGCTCTATGAAAAGAAAGGTTAAACTACTGTGAGTTGAACGCACACATCACAAAGTAGTTGTTGAGAATGATTTCTGTGTAGTTTTTATACGAAGATATTTCCTTTTCTGCCATAGGCCTAGAAGCGCTTGAAATCTGCACTTGCATATTCCAAAAACAGAGTGTTTCAAATCTGCTCTCTCTAAAGGAAGGTTCAAATCTGTGAGTTGAATACAAACAACACAAAGAAGTTACTGAGAATTCTTCTGTCTAGCGTTATATGAAGAAATCCCGTTTCCAACGAAGGCCTCAAAGAGGTCCAAATATCCACTTGCAGACTTTACAAATAGAGTGTTTCCAAACTGCTCTATGAAAAGAAAGGTTAAACTCCGTGTGTTGAAGGCACACATCTCAAACTAGTTTCTGCGAATGACTCTGTGTACTTTTAATATGAAGATATTTCCATGTCTAAGATTGGCGTCAAATCGCTTGAAATCTCCACTTGCAAATTCCACAAAAAGAGTGTTTCAAAACTGCTCTGAATAAAGGAAGGTTCCACTCTGTGAGTTGAATACACACAACACAAAGGATTTACTGAGAATTCTTCTGTCTAGCAGTAAATGAAAAAATCCCGCTTCCAACGAAGTCCTCAAAGGGGTCCAAGTAATCACTTGCAGACTTTACAGACAGAGTCTTTCCAAACTGCTCTATGAAAAGAAAGGTGGAACTCTGTGAGCTGAACGCACACATAACAAAGCAGTTTCTGACAATGATTCTGTGTAGTTTTTACACGAAGATATTTCCATTTCAAAGATTAGCCTCAAATCGCTTGAAATCTCCACTTGCAAACTCCACAGAAAGAATTTTTCAAAACTGCTCTGTCTAAAGGAAGGTTCAACTCTGTGACTTGAATACACACAACACAAAGAAGTGACTGAGAATTCTTCTGTCTAGCATTATATGAAGAAATCCCGTTTCCAAAGAAGGCCTCAATGAAGTCCAAAAAAGCACTTGCAGGCTTTACAAACAGAGTGATTCCAACCTTCTCTATGAAAAGAAAGGTTAAAATTTGTGAGTTGAACGCACACATCACAAAGTAGTTGTTGAGAATGATTTTGTCTAGTTTTAATACGAAGATATATCCTTTTCTATCACTGTCTTCGAAGCGTTTGAAATCTGCACTAGCAAATTCCACAAACAGAGTGTTTCATCTCTGCTCTCTCTCAAGAAAGGTTCAACTCTGTGAGTGGAATACACACAACACAAAGAAGTTACTGAGAATTCTTCTGTCTAGCATTATATGAAGAAATCCCGTTTCCAACGAAGGCCTCAAAGAGGTCCAAATATCCACTTGCAGACTTTACAAATAGAGTGTTTCCAAACTGCTCTATGAAAAGAAAGCTTAAACTCTGTGAGTTGAAGGCACACATCACAAACTAGTTTCTGCGAATGACTCTGTGTACTTTTAATATGAAGATATTTCCATGTCTAAGATTGGCGTCAAATCGCTTGAAATCTCCACTTGCAAATTCCACAAAAAGAGTGTTTCAAAACTGCTCTGAATAAAGGAAGGTTCCACTCTGTGAGTTGAATAAACGCAACACAAATGATTTACTGAGAATTCTTCTGTCTAGCAGTAAATGAAAAAATCCCGCTTCCAACGAAGTCCTCAAAGGGGTCCAAGTAATCACTTGCAGACTTTACAGACAGAGTCTTTCCAAACTGCTCTATGAAAAGAAAGGTGGAACTCTGTGAGCTGAACGCACACATAACAAAGCAGTTTCTGAGAATGATTCTGTGTAGTTTTTACACGAAGATATTTCCATTTCAAAGATTAGCCTCAAATCGCTTGAAATCTCCACTTGCAAATTCCACAGAAAGAGTTTTTCAAAACTGCTCTGTGTAAAGGAAGGTTCAACTCTGTGACTTGAATACACACAACACAAAGAAGTGACTGAGAATTCTTCTGTCTAGCATTATATGAAGAAATCCCGTTTCCAACGAAGGCCTCAATGAAGTCCAAAAAAGCACTTGCAGGCTTTACAAACAGAGTGTTTCCAAACTGCTCTATGAAAAGAAAGGTTAAACTCTGTGAGTTGAACGCACACATCACAAAGTAGTTGTTGAGAATGATTCTGTGTAGTTTTTATACGAAGATATTTCCTTTTCTGCCATAGGCCTAGAATCGCTTGAAATCTGCACTTGCAAATTCCAAAAACAGAGTGTTTCAAATCTGCTCTCTCTAAAGGAAGGTTCAAATCTGTGAGTTGAATACAAACAACACAAAGAAGTTACTGAGAATTCTTCTGTCTAGCATTATATGAGGAAATCCCGTTTCCAATGAAGGGCTCAAAGAGGGCCAATTATCCACCTGCAGATTTACAAAGAGTGTATTTCCAAACTGCTCGATTAAAGAAAGGTTAAACTCTGTGAGTTGAACACACACATCACAAAGTGTTTTCTGAGAATGATTTTGCCTAGTTTTAATACGAAGATATATCCTTTTCTATCACTGTCTTCGAAGCGTTTGAAATCTGCACTAGCAAATTCCACAAAAAGAGTGTTTCAACTCTGCTCTCTCTAAAGAAAGGTTCAACTCTGTGAGTTGAATACACACAACACAAAGAAGTTACTGAGAATTCTTCTGTCTAGCGTTATATGAAGAAATCCCGTTTCCAACGAAGGCCTCAAAGACGTCCAAATATCCACTTGCAGACTTTACAAATAGAGTGTTTCCAAACTGCTCTATGAAAAGAAAGGTTAAACTCCGTGAGTTGAAGGCACACATCACAAACTAGTTTCTGCGAATGACTCTGTGTACTTTTAATACGAAGATGTTTCCATGTCTAAGATTGGCGTGAATTCGCTTGAAATCTCCACTTGCAAATTCCACAAAAAGAGTGTTTCAAAACTGCTCTGAATAAAGGAAGGTTCCACTCTGTGAGTTGAATACACACAACACAAAGGATTTACTGAGAATTCTTCTGTCTAGCAGTAAATGAGAAATCCCGCTTCCAACGAAGGCCTCAAAGGGGTCTAACTAATCACTTGCAGACTTTACAGACAGAGTCTTTCCAAACTGCTCTATGAAGAGAAAGGTGAAACTCTGTGAACTGAACGCACAGATGACAAAGCAGTTTCTGAGAATGATTCTGTGTAGTTTTTACACGAAGCTATTTCCATTTCAAAGATTAGCCTCAAATCGCTTGAAATCTCCACTTGCAAATTCCACAGAAAGAGTTTTTCAAAACTGCTCTGTGTAAAGGATGGTTCAACTCTGTGACTTGAATACACACAACACAAAGAAGTGACTGAGAATTCTTCTGTCTAGCGTTGTATGAAGAAATCCCGTTTCCAACGAAGGCCTCAATGAAGTCCAAAAAAGCACTTGCAGGCTTTACAAACAGAGTGTTTCCAAACTGCTCTATGAAAAGAAAGGTTAAACTCTGTGAGTTGAACGCACACATCACAAAGTAGTTGTTGAGAATGATTCTGTGTATTTTTTATACGAAGATATTTCCTTTTCTGCCATAGGCCTAGAAGTGCTTGAAATCTGCACTTGCAAATTCCAAAAACAGAGTGTTTCAAATCTGCTCTCTCTAAAGGAAGGTTCAAATCTGTGAGTTGAATACAAACAACACAAAGAAGTTACTGAGAATTCTTCTGTCTAGCGTTGTATGAAGAAATCCCGTTTCCAACGAAGGCCTCAAAGAGGTCCAAATATCCACTTGCAGACTTTACAAATAGAGTGTTTCCAAACTGCTCTATGAAAAGAAAGGTTAAACTCTGTGAGTTGAAGGCACACATCACAAACTAGTTTTTACGAATGACTCTGTGTACTTTTAATACGAAGATGTTTCCATGTCTAAGATTGGCGTGAATTCGCTTGAAATCTCCACTTGCAAATTCCACAAAAAGAGTGTTTCAAAACTGCTCTGAATAAAGGAAGGTTCCACTCTGTGAGTTGAATACACACAACACAAAGGATTTACTGAGAATTCTTCTGTCTAGCAGTAAATGAAAAAATCCCGCTTCCAACGAAGTCCTCAAAGGGGTCCAAGTAATCACTTGCAGACTTTACAGACAGAGTCTTTCCAAACTGCTCTATGAAAAGAAAGGTGGAACTCTGTGAGCTGAACGCACACATAACAAAGAAGTTTCTGAGAATGATTCTGTGTAGTTTTTACACGAAGATATTTCCATTTCAAAGATTAGCCTCAAATCGCTTGAAATCTCCACTTGCAAACTCCACAGAAAGAATTTTTCAAAACTGCTCTGTCTAAAGGAAGGTTCAACTCTGTGACTTGAATACACACAACACAAAGAAGTGACTGAGAATTCTTCTGTCTAGCATTATATGAAGAAATCCCGTTTCCAACGAAGGCCTCAAAGAAGTCCAAATAAGCACCTGCAGACTTTACAAACAGAGTGTTTCCAAACTGCTCTATGAAAAGAAAGGTTAAACTCTGTGAGCTGAACTGCACACATCACAAAGTAGTTGTTGAGAATGATTCTGTGTAGTTTTTATACGAAGATATTTCCTTTTCTGCCATAGGCCTAGAAGCGCTTGAAATCTGCACTTGCAAATTCCAAAAACAGAGTGTTTCAAATCTGCTCTCTCTAAAGGAAGGTTCAAATCTGTGTGTTGAATACAAACAACACAAAGAAGTTACTGAGAATTCTTCTGTCTAGCGTTATATGAAGAAATCCCGTTTCCAACGAAGGCCTCAAAGAGGTCCAAATATCCACTTGCAGACTTTACAAATAGAGTGTTTCCAAACTGCTCTATGAAAAGAAAGGTTAAACTCCGTGAGTTGAAGGCACACATCACAAACTAGTTTCTGCGAATGACTCTGTGTACTTTTAATACGAAGATGTTTCCATGTCTAAGATTGGCGTGAATTCGCTTGAAATCTCCACTTGCAATTTCCACAAAAAGAGTGTTTCAAAACTGCTCTGAATAAAGGAAGGTTCCACTCTGTGAGTTGAATACACACAACACAAAGGATTTACTGAGAATTCTTCTGTCTAGCAGTAAATGAGAAATCCCGCTTCCAACGAAGGCCTCAAAGGGGTCTAACTAATCACTTGCAGACTTTAAAGACAGAGTCTTTCCAAACTGCTCTATGAAGAGAAAGGTGAAACTCTGTGAACTGAACGCACAGATGACAAAGCAGTTTCTGAGAATGCTTCTGTGTAGTTTTTACACGAAGATATTTCCATTTCAAAGATTAGCCTCAAATCGCTTAAAATCTCCAATTGCAAATTCCACAGAAAGAATTTTTCAAAACTGCTCTGTCTAAAAGAAGGTTCACCTCTGTGACTTGAATACACACAACACAAAGAACTGACTGAGAATTCTTCTGTCTAGCATTATATGAAGAAATCCCGTTTCCAACGAAGGCCTCAATGAAGTCCAAAAAAGCACTTGCAGGCTTTACAAACAGAGTGTTTCCAAACTGCTCTAAGAAAAGAAAGGTTAAACTGTGTGAGTTGAACGCACACATCACAAAGTAGTTGTTGAGAATGATTTTGTCTAGTTTTAATACGAAGATATATCCTTTTCTATCACTGTCTTCGAAGCGTTTGAAATCTGCACTAGCAAATTCCACAAACAGAGTGTTTCAACTCTGCTCTCTCTCAAGAAAGGTTCAACTCTGTGAGTGGAATACACACAACACAAAGAAGTTACTGAGAATTCTTCTGTCTAGCGTTGTATGAAGAAATCCCGTTTCCAACGAAGGCCTCAAAGAGGTCCAAATATCCACTTGCAGACTTTACAAACAGAGTGTTTCCAAACTGCTCTATGAAAAGAAAAGTTAAACTCTGTGAGTTGAAGGCACACATCACAAACTAGTTTCTACGAATGACTCTGTGTACTTTTAATATGAAGATTTTTCCATGTCTAAGATTGGCGTCAAATCGCTTGAAATCTCCACTTGCAAATTCCACAAAAAGTGTTTTTCAAAACTGCTCTGAATAAAGGAAGGTTCCACTCTGTGAGTTGAATACACACAACACAAAGGATTTACTGAGAATTCTTCTGTCTAGCAGTAAATGAAAAAATCCCGCTTCCAACGAAGTCCTCAAAGGGGTCCAAGTAATCACTTGCAGACTTTACAGACAGAGTCTTTCCAAACTGCTCTATGAAGAGAAAGGTGGAACTCTGTGAGCTGAACGCACACATAACAAAGCAGTTTCTGAGAATGATTCTGTGTAGTTTTTACACGAAGATATTTCCATTTCAAAGATTAGCCTCAAATCGCTTGAAATCTCCACTTGCAAATTCCACAGAAAGAGTTTTTCAAAACTGCTCTGTGTAAAGGAAGGTTCAACTCTGTGACTTGAATACACACAACACAAAGAAGTGACTGAGAATTCTTCTGTCTAGCATTATAAGAGGAAATCCCGTTTCCAACGAAGGGCTCATAGAGGGACAATTATCCAGCTGCAGACTTACAAAGAGTGTATTTCCAAACTGCTCGATTAAAGAAAGGTTAAACTCTGTGAGTTGAACACACACATCACAAAGTGTTTTCTGAGAATGATTCTGTGTAGTTTTTATACGAAGATATTTCCTTTTCTGCCATAGGCCTAGAAGCGCTTGCAATCTGCACTTGCAAATTCCAAAAACAGAGTGTTTCAAATCTGCTCTCTCCAAAGGAAGGTTCAAATCGGTGAGTTGAATACAAACAACACAAAGAAGTTACTGAGAATTACTCTGTCTAGCGTTGTATGAAGAAATCCCGTTTCCAACGAAGGCCTCAAAGAGGTCCAAATATCCACTTGCAGACTTTACAAATAGAGTGTTTCCCAACTGCTCTATGAAAAGAAAGGTTAAACTCTGTGAGTTGAAGGCACACATCACAAACCAGTTTCTACGAATGAATCTGTGTACTTTTAATACGAAGATGTTTCCATGTCTAAGATTGGCGTGAATTCGCTTGAAATCTCCACTTGCAAATTCCACAAAAAGAGTGTTTCAAAACTGCTCTGAATAAAGGAAGGTTCCACTCTGTGAGTTGAATACACACAACACAAAGGATTTACTGAGAATTCTTCTGTCTAGCAGTAAATGAAAAAATCCCGCTTCCAACGAAGTCCTCAAAGGGGTCCAAGTAATCACTTGCAGACTTTACAGACAGAGTCTTTCCAAACTGCTCTATGAAAAGAAAGGTGGAACTCTGTGAGCTGAACGCACACATAACAAAGCAGTTTGCTGAGAATGATTTCTGTGTAGTTTTTACACGAAGATATTTCCATTTCAAAGATTAGCCTCAAATCGCTTGAAATCTCCACTTGCAAATTCCACAGAAAGAGTTTTTCAAAACTGCTCTGTCTAAAGGAAGGTTCAACTCTGTGACTTGAATACACACAACACAAAGAAGTGACTGAGAATGCTTCTGTCTAGCATTATAAGAGGAAATCCCGTTTCCAACGAAGGGCTCATAGAGGGACAATTATCCAGCTGCAGACTTACAAAGAGTGTATTTCCAAACTGCTCGATTAAAGAAAGGTTAAACTCTGTGAGTTGAACACACACATCACAAAGTGTTTTCTGAGAATGATTCTGTGTAGTTTTTATACGAAGATATTTCCTTTTCTGCCATAGGCCTAGAAGCGCTTGCAATCTGCACTTGCAAATTCCAAAAACAGAGTGTTTCAAATCTGCTCTCTCCAAAGGAAGGTTCAAATCTGTGAGTTGAATACAAACAACACAAAGAAGTTACTGAGAATTCTTCTGTCTAGCGTTATATGAAGAAATCCCGTTTCCAACGAAGGCCTCAAAGAGGTCCAAATATCCACTTGCAGACTTTACAAATAGAGTGTTTCCAAACTGCTCTATGAAAAGAAAGGTTAAACTCCGTGAGTTGAAGGCACACATCACAAACTAGTTTCTGCGAATGACTCTGTGTACTTTTAATATGAAGATATTTCCATGTCTAAGATTGGCGTCAAATCGCTTGAAATCTCCACTTGCAAATTCCACAAAAAGTGTTTTTCAAAACTGCTCTGAATAAAGGAAGGTTCCACTCTGTGAGTTGAATACACACAACACAAAGGATTTACTGAGAATTCTTCTGTCTAGCAGTAAATGAGAAATCCCGCTTCCAACGAAGGCCTCAAAGGGGTCTAACTAATCACTTGCAGACTTTACAGACAGAGTCTTTCCAAACTGCTCTATGAAGAGAAAGGTGAAACTACTGTGAACTGAACGCACAGATGACAAAGCAGTTTCTGAGAATGATTCTGTGCAGTTTTTACACGAAGATATTTCCATTTCAAAGATTAGCCTCAAATCGCTTGAAATCTCCACTTGCAAATTACACAGAAAGAATTTTTCAAAACTGCTCTGTCTAAAGGAAGGTTCAACTCTGTGACTTGAATACACACAACACAAAGAAGTGACTGAGAATTCTTCTGTCTAGCATTACATGAAGAAATCCCGTTTCCAACGAAGGCCTCAATGAAGTCCAAAAAAGCACTTGCAGGCTTTACAAACAGAGTGTTTCCAAACTGCTCTATGAAAAGAAAGGTTAAACTCTGTGAGTTGAACGCACACATCACAAAGTAGTTGTTGAGAATGATTTTGTCTACTTTTAATACGAAGATATATCCTTTTCTATCACTGTCTTCGAAGCGTTTGAAATCTACACTAGCAAATTCCACAAAAAGAGTGTTTCACCTCTGCTCCCTCTAAAGAAAGGTTCAACTCTGTGAGTTGAATACACACAACACAAAGAAGTTACTGAGAATTCTTCTGTCTAGCGTTATATGAAGAAATCCCGTTTCCAACGAAGGCCTCAAAGAGGTCCAAATATCCACTTGCAGACTTTACAAATAGAGTGTTTCCAAACTGCTCTATGAAAAGAAAGGTTAAACTCCGTGAGTTGAAGGCACACATCACAAACTAGTTTCTGCGAATGACTCTGTGTACTTTTAATACGAAGATGTTTCCATGTCTAAGATTGGCGTGAATTCGCTTGAAATCTCCACTTGCAAATTCCACAAAAAGAGTGTTTCAAAACTGCTCTGAATAAAGGAAGGTTCCACTCTGTGAGTTGAATACACACAACACGAAGGATTTACTGAGAATTCTTCTGTCTAGCAGTAAATGAGAAATCCCGCTTCCAACGAAGGCCTCAAAGGGGTCTAACTAATCACTTGCAGACTTTACAGACAGAGTCTTTCCAAACTGCTCTATGAAGAGAAAGGTGAAACTCTGTGAACTGAACGCACAGATGACAAAGCAGTTTCTGAGAATGATTCTGTGTAGTTTTTACACGAAGATATTTCCATTTCAAAGATTAGCCTCAAATCGCTTGAAATCTCCACTTGCAAACTCCACAGAAAGAATTTTTCAAAACTGCTCTGTCTAAAGGAAGGTTCAACTCTGTGACTTGAATACACACAACACAAAGAAGTGACTGAGAATTCTTCTGTCTAGCATTATATGAAGAAATCCCGTTTCCAACGAAGGCCTCAATGAAGTCCAAAAAAGCACTTGCAGGCTTTACAAACAGAGTGTTTCCAAACTGCTCTATGAAAAGAAAGGTTAAACTCTGTGAGTTGAACGCACACATCACAAAGTAGTTGTTGAGAATGATTCTGTGTAGTTTTTATACGAAGATATTTCCTTTTCTGCCATAGGCCTAGAAGCGCTTGAAATCTGCACTTGCAAATTCCAAAAACAGAGTGTTTCAAATCTGCTCTCTCTAAAGGAAGGTTCAAATCTGTGTGTTGAATAAAAACAACACAAAGAAGTTACTGAGAATTCTTCTGTCTAGCGTTATATGAAGAAATCCCGTTTCCAACGAAGGCCTCAAAGAGGTCCAAATATCCACTTGCAGACTTTACAAATAGAGTGTTTCCCAACTGCTCTATGAAAAGAAAGGTTAAACTCTGTGAGTTGAAGGCACACATCACAAACTAGTTTCTACGAATGACTCTGTGTACTTTTAATACGAAGATGTTTCCATGTCTAAGATTGGCGTGAATTCGCTTGAAATCTCCACTTGCAAATTCCACAAAAAGAGTGTTTCAAAACTGCTCTGAATAAAGGAAGGTTCCACTCTGTGAGTTGAATACACACAACACAAAGGATTTACTGAGAATTCTTCTGTCTAGCAGTAAATGAAAAAATCCCGCTTCCAACGAAGTCCTCAAAGGGGTCCAAGTAATCACTTGCAGACTTTACAGACAGAGTCTTTCCAAACTGCTCTATGAAAAGAAAGGTGGAACTCTGTGAGCTGAACGCACACATAACAAAGCAGTTTCTGAGAATGATTCTGTGTAGTTTTTACACGAAGATATTTCCATTTCAAAGATTAGCCTCAAATCGCTTGACATCTCCACTTGCAAATTCCACAGAAAGAGTTTTTCAAAACTGCTCTGTGTAATGGAAGGTTCAACTCTGTGACTTGAATACACACAACACAAAGAAGTGACTGAGAATTCTTCTGTCTAGCATTATATGAAGAAATCCCGTTTCCAACGAAGGCCTCAAAGAAGTCCAAATAAGCACCTGCAGACTTTACAAACAGAGTGTTTCCAAACTGCTCTATGAAAAGAAAGGTTAAACTCTGTGAGTTGAACGCACACATCACAAAGTAGTTGTTGAGAATGATTCTGTGTAGTTTTTATACGAAGATATTTCCTTTTCTGCCATAGGCCTAGAATCGCTTGAAATCTGCACTTGCAAATTCCAAAAACAGAGTGTTTCAACTCTGCTCTCTCTAAAGAAAGTTTCAACTCTGTGAGTTGAATACACACAACACAAAGAAGTTACTGAGAATTCTTCTGTCTAGCGTTATATGAAGAAATCCCGTTTCCAACGAAGGCCTCAAAGAGGTCCAAATATCCACTTGCAGACTTTACAAATAGAGTGTTTCCAAACTGCTCTATGAAAAGAAAGGTTAAACTCCGTGAGTTGAAGGCACACATCACAAACTAGTTTCTGCGAATGACTCTGTGTACTTTTAATATGAAGATATTTCCATGTCTAAGATTGGCGTCAAATCGCTTGAAATCTCCACTTGCAAATTCCACAAAAAGAGTGTTTCAAAACTGCTCTGAATAAAGGAAGGTTCCACTCTGTGAGTTGAATACACACAACACAAAGGATTTACTGAGAATTCTTCTGTCTAGCAGTAAATGAGAAATCCCGCTTCCAACGAAGGCCTCAAAGGGGTCTAACTAATCACTTGCAGACTTTACAGACAGAGTCTTTCCAAACTGCTCTATGAAGAGAAAGGTGAAACTCTGTGAACTGAACGCACAGATGACAAAGCAGTTTCTGAGAATGATTCTGTGTAGTTTTTACACGAAGATATTTCCATTTCAAAGATTAGCCTCAAATCGCTTGAAATCTCCACTTGCAAATTCCACAGAAAGAGTTTTTCAAAACTGCTCTGTGTAAAGGAAGGTTCAACTCTGTGACTTGAATACACACAACACAAAGAAGTGACTGAGAATTCTTCTGTCTAGCATTATATGAAGAAATCCCGTTTCCAACGAAGGCCTCAATGAAGTCCAAAAAAGCACTTGCAGGCTTTACAAACAGAGTGTTTCCAAACTGCTCTATGAAAAGAAAGGTTAAACTCTGTGAGTTGAACGCACACATCACAAAGTAGTTGTTGAGAATGATTTTGTCTAGTTTTAATACGAAGATATATCCTTTTCTATCACTGTCTTCGAAGCGTTTGAAATCTGCACTAGCAAATTCCACAAACAGAGTGTTTCAACTCTGCTCTCTCTCAAGAAAGGTTCAACTCTGTGAGTTGAATACACACAACACAAAGAAGTTACTGAGAATTCTTCTGTCTAGCGTTGTATGAAGAAATCCCGTTTCCAACGAAGGCCTCAAAGAGGTCCAAATATCCACTTGCAGACTTTACAAATAGAGTGTTTCCAAACTGCTCTATGAAAAGAAAAGTTAAACTCTGTGAGTTGAAGGCACACATCACAAACTAGTTTCTACGAATGACTCTGTGTACTTTTAATACGAAGATGTTTCCATGTCTAAGATTGGCGTGAATTCGCTTGAAATCTCCACTTGCAAATTCCACAAAAAGAGTGTTTCAAAACTGCTCTGAATAAAGGAAGGTTCCACTCTGTGAGTTGAATACACACAACACAAAGGATTTACTGAGAATTCTTCTGTCTAGCAGTAAATGAGAAATCCCGCTTCCAACGAAGGCCTCAAAGGGGTCTAACTAATCACTTGCAGACTTTACAGACAGAGTCTTTCCAAACTGCTCTATGAAGAGAAAGGTGAAACTCTGTGAACTGAACGCACAGATGACAAAGCAGTTTCTGAGAATGATTCTGTGTAGTTTTTGCACGAAGATATTTCCATTTCAAAGATTAGCCTCAAATCGCTTGAAATCTCCACTTGCAAATTCCACAGAAAGAGTTTCTCAAAACTGCTCTGTGTAAAGGAAGGTTCAACTCTGTGACTTGAATACACACAACACAAAGAAGTGACTGAGAATTCTTCTGTCTAGCATTATAAGAGGAAATCCCGTTTCCAACGAAGGGCTCATAGAGGGACAATTATCCACCTGCAGACTTACAAAGAGAGTATTTCCAAACTGCTCGATTAAAGAAAGGTTAAACTCTGTGAGTTGAACACACACATCACAAAGTGTTTTCTGAGAATGATTTTGTCTAGTTTTAATACGAAGATATATCCTTTTCTATCACTGTCTTCGAAGCGTTTGAAATCTGCACTAGCAAATTCCACAGAAAGAGTGTTTCAACTCTGCTCTCTCTCAAGAAAGGTTCAACTCTGTGAGTTGAATACACACAATACAAAGAAGTTACTGAGAATTCTTCTGTCTAGCGTTATATGAAGAAATCCCGTTTCCAACGAAGGCCTCAAAGAGGTCCAAATATCCACTTGCAGACTTTACAAATGGAGTGTTTCCAAACTGCTCTATGAAAAGAAAGGTTAAACTCCGTGAGTTGAAGGCACACATCACAAACTAGTTTCTGCGAATGACTTTGTCTAGTTTTAATACGAAGATATATCCTTTTCTATCACTGTCTTCGAAGCGTTTGAAATCTGCACTAGCAAATTCCACAAACAGAGTGTTTCAACTCTGCTCTCTCTCAAGGAAGCTTCAACTCTGTGAGTGGAATACACACAACACAAAGAAGTTACTGAGAATTCTTCTGTCTAACGTTATATGAAGAAATCCCGTTTCCAACGAAGGCCTCAAAGAGGTCCAAATATCCACTTGCAGACTTTACAAATAGAGTTTTTCCCAACTGCTCTATGAAAAGAAAGGTTAAACTCTGTGAGTTGAAGGCACACATCACAAACTAGTTTCTACGAATGACTCTGTGTACTTTTAATATGAAGATATTTCCATGTCTAAGATTGGCGTCAAATCGCTTGAAATCTCCACTTGCAAATTCCACAAAAAGAGTGTTTCAAAACTGCTCTGAATAAAGGAAGGTTCCACTCTGTGAGTTGAATACACACAACACAAAGGACTTACTGAGAATTCTTCTGTCTAGCAGTAAATGAAAAAATCCCGCTTCCAACGAAGTCCTCAAAGGGGTCCAAGTAATCACTTGCAGACTTTACAGACAGAGTCTTTCCAAACTGCTCTATGAAGAGAAAGGTGGAACTCTGTGAGCTGAACGCACACATAACAAAGCAGTTTCTGAGAATGATTCTGTGTAGTTTTTACACGAAGATATTTCCATTTCAAAGATTAGCCTCAAATCGCTTGAAATCTCCACTTGCAAATTCCACAGAAAGAGTTTTTCAAAACTGCTCTGTGTAAAGGAAGGTTCAACTCTGTGACTTGAATACACACAACACAAAGAAGTGACTGAGAATTCTTCTGTCTAGCATTATAAGAGGAAATCCCGTTTCCAACGAAGGGCTCATAGAGGGACAATTATCCAGCTGCAGACTTACAAAGAGTGTATTTCCAAACTGCTCGATTAAAGAAAGGTTAAACTCTGTGAGTTGAACACACACATCACAAAGTGTTTTCTGAGAATGATTCTGTGTAGTTTTTATACGAAGATATTTCCTTTTCTGCCATAGGCCTAGAAGCGCTTGAAATCTGCACTTGCAAATTCCAAAAACAGAGTGTTTCAAATCTGCTCTCTCTAAAGGAAGGTTCAAATCTGTGAGTTGAATACAAACAACACAAAGAAGTTACTGAGAATTCTTCTGTCTAGCATTATATGAGGAAATCCCGTTTCCAACGAAGGGCTCAAAGAGGGCCAATTATACACCTGCAGACTTACAAAGAGTGTATTTCCAAACTGCTCGATTAAAGAAAGGTTAAACTCTGTGAGTTGAACACACACATCACAAAGTGTTTTCTGAGAATGATTTTGTCTAGTTTTAATACGAAGATATATCCTTTTCTATCACTGTCTTCGAAGCGTTTGAAATCTACACTAGCAAATTCCACAAGAAGAGTGTTTCAACTCTGCTATCTCTAAAGAAAGGTTCAACTCGGTGAGTTGAATACACACAACACAAAGAAGTTACTGAGAATTCTTCTGTCTAGCGTTATATGAAGAAATCCCGTTTCCAACGAAGGTCTCAAAGAGGTCCAAATATCCACTTGCAGACTTTACAAATAGAGTGTTTCCCAACTGCTCTATGAAAAGAAAGGTTAAACTGTGAGTTGAAGGCACACATCACAAACTAGTTTCTACGAATGTCTCTGTGTACTTTTAATACGAAGCATGTTTCCATGTCTAAGATTGGCGTGAATTCGCTTGAAATCTCCACTTGCAAATTCCACAAAAAGAGTGTTTCAAAAGTGCTCTGAATAAAGGAAGGTTCCACTCTGTGAGTTGAATACACACAACACAAAGGATTTACTGAGAATTCTTCTGTATAGCAGTAAATGAAAAAATCCCGCTTCCAACGAAGTCCTCAAAGGGGTCCAAGTAATCACTTGCAGACTTTACAGACAGAGTCTTTCCAAACTGCTCTATGAAAAGAAAGGTGGAACTCTGTGAGCTGAACGCACACATAACAAAGCAGTTTCTGAGAATGATTCTGTGTAGTTTTTACACGAAGCTATTTCCATTTCAAAGATTAGCCTCAAATCGCTTGAAATCTCCACTTGCAAATTCCACAGAAAGAGTTTTTCAAAACTGCTCTGTGTAAAGGAAGGTTCAACTCTGTGACTTGAATACACACAACACAAAGAAGTTACTGAGAATTCTTCTGTCTAGCATTACATGAAGAAATCCCGTTTCCAACGAAGGCCTCAATGAAGTCCAAAAAAGCACTTGCAGGCTTTACAAACAGAGTGTTTCCAAACTGCTCTATGAAAAGAAAGGTTAAACTCTGTGAGTTGAACGCACACATCACAAAGTAGTTGTTGAGAATGATTTTGTCTACTTTTAATACGAAGATATATCCTTTTCTATCACTGTCTTCGAAGCGTTTGAAATCTACACTAGCAAATTCCACAAAAAGAGTGTTTCACCTCTGCTCCCTCTAAAGAAAGGTTCAACTCTGTGAGTTGAATACACACAACACAAAGAAGTTACTGAGAATTCTTCTGTCTAGCGTTATATGAAGAAATCCCGTTTCCAACGAAGGTCTCAAAGAGGTCCAAATATCCACTTGCAGACTTTACAAATAGAGTGTTTCCCAACTGCTCTATGAAAAGAAAGGTTAAACTGTGAGTTGAAGGCACACATCACAAACTAGTTTCTACGAATGACTCTGTGTACTTTTAATATGAAGATATTTCCATGTCTAAGATTGGCGTCAAATCGCTTGAAATCTCCACTTGCAAATTCCACTAAAAGTGTTTTTCAAAACTGCTCTGAATAAAGGAAGGTTCCACTCTGTGAGTTGAATACACACAACACAAAGGATTTACTGAGAATTCTTCTGTCTAGCAGTAAATGAAAAAATCCCGCTTCCAACGAAGTCCTCAAAGGGGTCCAAGTAATCACTTGCAGACTTTACAGACAGAGTCTTTCCAAACTGCTCTATGAAAAGAAAGGTGGAACTCTGTGAGCTGAACGCACACATAACAAAGCAGTTTCTGAGAATGATTCTGTGTAGTTTTTACACGAAGATATTTCCATTTCAAAGATTAGCCTCAAATCGCTTGAAATCTCCACTTGCAAATTCCACAGAAAGAGTTTTTCAAAACTGCTCTGTGTAAAGGAAGGTTCAACTCTGTGACTTGAATACACACAACACAAAGAAGTGACTGAGAATCTCTCTGTCTAGCATTATATGAAGAAATCCCGTTTCCAACGAAGGCCTCAAAGTAAGTCCAAATAAGCACCGGCAGACTTTACAAACAGAGTGTTTCCAAACTGCTCTATGAAAAGAAAGGTTAAACTCTGTGAGTTGAACGCACACATCACAAAGTAGTTGTTGAGAATGATTCTGTGTAGTTTTTATACGAAGATATTTCCTTTTCTGCCATAGGCCTAGAAGCACTTGTAATCTGCACTTGCAAATTCCAAAAACAGAGTGTTTCAAATCTGCTCTCTCTAAAGGAAGGTTCAAATCTGTGAGTTGAATACAAACAACACAAAGAAGTTACTGAGAATTCTTCTGTCTAGCGTTATATGAAGAAATCCCGTTTCCAACGAAGGCCTCAAAGAGGTCCAAATATCCACTTGCAGACTTTACAAATAGAGTGTTTCCAAACTGCTCTATGAAAAGAAAGGTTAAACTCCGTGAGTTGAAGGCACACATCACAAACTAGTTTCTGCGAATGACTCTGTGTACTTTTAATACGAAGATGTTTCCATGTCTAAGATTGGCGTGAATTCGCTTGAAATCTCCACTTGCAAATTCCACAAAAAGAGTGTTTCAAAACTGCTCTGAATAAAGGAAGGTTCCACTCTGTGAGTTGAATACACACAACACAAAGGATTTACTGAGAATTCTTCTGTCTAGCAGTAAATGAAAAAATCCCGCTTCCAACGAAGTCCTCAAAGGGGTCCAAGTAATCACTTGCAGACTTTACAGACAGAGTCTTTCCAAACTGCTCTATGAAAAGAAAGGTGGAACTCTGTGAGCTGAACGCACACATAACAAAGCAGTTTCTGAGAATGATTCTGTGTAGTTTTTACACGAAGATATTTCCATTTCAAAGATTAGCCTCAAATCGCTTGAAATCTCCACTTGCAAACTCCACAGAAAGAATTTTTCAAAACTGCTCTGTCTAAAGGAAGGTTCAACTCTGTGACTTGAATACACACAACACAAAGAAGTGACTGAGAATTCTTCTGTCTAGCATTATATGAGGAAATCCCGTTTCCAACGAAGGGCTCAAAGAGGGCCAATTATCCACCTGCAGACTTACAAAGAGTGTATTTCCAAACTGCTCGATTAAAGAAAGGTTAAACTCTGTGAGTTGAACACACACATCACAAAGTGTTTTCTGAGAATGATTTTGTCTAGTTTTAATACGAAGATATATCCTTTTCTATCACTGTCTTCGAAGCGTTTGAAATCTGCACTAGCAAATTCCACAAAAAGAGTGTTTCAACTCTGCTCTCTCTAAAGAAAAGTTCAACTCTGTGAGTTGAATACACACAACACAAGGAAGTTACTGAAAATTCTTCTGTCTAGCGTTATATGAAGAAATCCCGTTTCCAACGAAGGCCTCAAAGAGGTCCAAATATCCACTTGCAGACTTTACAAATAGAGTGTTTCCGAACTGCTCTATGAAAAGAAAGGTTAAACTCTGTGAGTTGAAGGCACACATCACAAACTAGTTTCTACGAATGAATCTGTGTACTTTTAATATGAAGATATTTCCATGTCTAAGATTGACGTCAAATCGCTTGAAATCTCCACTTGCAAATTCCACAAAAAGAGTGTTTCAAAACTGCTCTGAATAAAAGAAGGTTCCACTCTGTGAGTTGAATAAACACAACACAAAGGATTTACTGAGAATTCTTCTGTCTAGCATTATATGAAGAAATCCCGTTTCCAACGAAGGCCTCAATGAAGTCCAAAAAAGCACTTGCAGGGTTTACAAACAGAGTGTTTCCAAACTTCTCTATGAAAAGAAAGGTTAAACTTTGTGAGTTGAACGCACACATCACAAAGTAGTTGTTGAGAATGATTCTGTGTAGTTTTTACACGAAGATATTTCCATTTCAAAGATTAGCCTCAAATCGCTTGAAATCTCCACTTGCAAACTCCACAGAAACAATTTTTCAAAACTGCTCTGTCTAAACGAAGGTTCAACTCTGTGACTTGAATACACACAACACAAAGAAGTGACTGAGAATTCTTCTGTCTAGCATTATATGAAGAAATCCCGTTTCCAATGAAGGCCTCAATGAAGTCCAAAGAAGCACTTGCAGGCTTTACAGAGTGTTTCCAAACTGCTCTATGAAAAGAAAGGTTAAACTCTGTGAGTTGAACGCACACATCACAAAGTAGTTGTTGAGAATGATTCTGTGTAGTTTTTATACGAAGATATTCCCTTTTCTGCCATAGGCCTAGAATCGCTTGAAATCTGCCCTTGCAAATTCCAAAAACAGAGTGTTTCAACTCTGCTCTCTCTAAAGAAAGGTTCAACTCTGTGAGTTGAATACACACAACACAAAGAAGTTACTGAGAATTCTCTCTGTCTAGCGTTGTATGAAGAAATCCCGTTTCCAACGAAGGCCTCAATGAAGTCCAAAAAAGCACTTGCAGGCTTTACAAACAGAGTGTTTCCAAACTGCTCTATGAAAAGAAAGGTTAAACTCTGTGAGTTGAACGCACACATCACAAAGTAGTTGTTGAGAATGATTCTGTGTACTTTTAATATGAAGATATTTCCATGTCTAAGATTGGCATCAAATCGCTTGAAATCTCCACTTGCAAATTCCACAAAAAGAGTGTTTCAAAACTGCTCTGAATAAAGGAAGGTTCCACTCTGTGAGTTGAATACACACAACACAAAGGATTTACTGAGAATTCTTCTGTCTAGCATTATATGAAGAAATCCCCTTTCCAACGAAGGCCTCAATGAAGTCCAAAAAAGCACTTGCAGGCTTTACACACAGAGTGTTTCCAAACTGCTCTATGAAAAGAAAGGTTAAACTCTGTGAGTTGAACGCACACATCACAAAGTAGTTGTTGAGAATGATTCTGTGTAGTTTTTATACGAAGATATTTCCTTTTCTGCCATAGGCCTAGAAGGGCTTGAAATCTGCACTTGCAAATTCCAAAAACAGAGTGTTTCAACTCTGCTCTCTCTAAAGAAAGGTTCAACTCTGTGAGTTGAATACACACAACACAAAGAAGTTACTGAGAATTCTTCTGTCTAGCGTTGTATGAAGAAATCCCTTTTCCAACGAAGGCCTCAAAGAGGTCCAAATATCCACTTGCAGACTTTACAAATAGAATGTTTCCTAACTGCTCTATGAAAAGAAAGGTTAAACTCTGTGAGTTGAAGGCACACATCACAAACTAGTTTCTACGAATGATTCTGTGTACTTTTAATATGAAGATATTTCCATGTCTAAGATTGGCGTCAAATCGCTTGAAATCTCCACTTGCAAATTAAACAAAAAGAGTGTTTCAAAACTGCTCTGAATAAAGGAAGGTTCCACTCTGTGAGTTGAATGCACACAACACCACGGATTTACTGAGAATTCTTCTGTCTAGCAGTAAATGAGAAATCCCGCTTCCAACGAAGGCCTCAAAGGGGTCTAACTAATCACTTGCAGACTTTACAGACAGAGTCTTTCCAAACTGCTCTATGAAGAGAAAGGTGAAACTCTGTGAACTGAACGCACAGATGACAAAGCAGTTTCTGAGAATGATTCTGTGTAGTTTTTACACGAAGCTATTTCCATTTCAAAGATTAGCCTCAAATCGCTTGAAATCTCCACTTGCAAATTCCACAGAAAGAGTTTTTCAAAACTGCTCTGTGTAAAGGAAGGTTCAACTCTGTGACTTGAATACACACAACACAAAGAAGTGACTGAGAATTCTTCTGTCTAGCATTATATGAAGAAATCCCGTTTCCAACGAAGGCCTCAAAGAAGTCCAAATAAGCACCTGCAGACTTTACAAACAGAGTGTTTCCAAACTGCTCTATGAAAAGAAAGGTTAAACTCTGTGAGCTGAACGCACACATCACAAAGTAGTTGTTGAGAATGATTCTGTGTAGTTTTTATACGAAGATATTTCCTTTTCTGCCATAGGCCTAGAAGCGCTTGTAATCTGCACTTGCAAATTCCAAAAACAGAGTGTTTCAAATCTGCTCTCTCTAAAGGAAGGTTCAAATCTGTGAGTTGAATACAAACAACACAAAGAAGTTACTGAGAATTCTTCTGTCTAGCGTTATATGAAGAAATCCCGTTTCCAACGAAGGCCTCAAAGAGGTCCAAATATCCACTTGCAGACTTTACAAATAGAGTGTTTCCAAACTGCTCTATGAAAAGAAAGCTTAAACTCTGTGAGTTGAAGGCACACATCACAAACTAGTTTCTGCGAATGACTTCTGTGTACTTTTAATATGAAGATATTTACATGTCTAAGATTGGCGTCAAATCGCTTGAAATCTCCACTTGCAAATTCCACAAAAAGTGTTTTTCAAAACTGCTCTGAATAAAGGAAGGTTCCACTCTGTGAGTTGAATACACACAACACAAAGGATTTACTGAGAATTCCTCTGTCTAGCAGTAAATGAGAAATCCCGCTTCCAACGAAGGCCTCAAAGGGGTCTAACTAATCACTTGCAGACTTTACAGACAGAGTCTTTCCAAACTGCTGTATGAAGAGAAAGGTGAAACTCTGTGAACTAAACGCACAGATGACAAAGCAGTTTCTGAGAATGCTTCTGTGTAGTTTTTACACGAAGATATTTCCATTTCAAAGATTAGCCTCAAATCGCTTGAAATCTCCACTTGCAAACTCCACAGAAAGAATTTTTCAAAACTGCTCTGTCTAAAGGAAGGTTCAACTCTGTGACTTGAATACACACGACACAAAGAAGTGACTGAGAATTCTTCTGTCTAGCATTATATGAAGAAATCCCGTTTCCAACGAAGGCCTCAATGAAGTCCAAAAAAGCACTTGCAGGCTTTACAAACAGAGTGTTTCCAAACTGCTCTATGAAAAGAAAGGTTAAACTCTGTGAGTTGAACGCACACATCACAAAGTAGTTGTTGAGAATGATTCTGTGTAGTTTTTATACGAAGATATTTCCTTTTCTGCCATAGGCCTAGAAGCGCTTGCAATCTGCACTTGCAAATTCCAAAAACAGAGTGTTTCAAATCTGCTCTCTCCAAAGGAAGGTTCAAATCTGTGAGTTGAATACAAACAACACAAAGAAGTTACTGAGAATTCTTCTGTCTAGCGTTATATGAAGAAATCCCGTTTCCAACGAAGGCCTCAAAGAGGTCCAAATATCCACTTGCAGACTTTACAAATAGAGTGTTTCCAAACTGCTCTATGAAAAGAAAGGTTAAACTCCGTGAGTTGAAGGCACACATCACAAACTAGTTTCTGCGAATGACTCTGTGTACTTTTAATATGAAGATATTTCCATGTCTAAGATTGCCGTCAAATCGGTTGAAATCTCCATTTGCAAATTCCACAAAAAGTGTTTTTCAAAACTGCTCTGAATAAAGGAAGGTTCCACTCTGTGAGTTGAATACACACAACACAAAGGATTTACTGAGAATTCTTCTGTCTAGCAGTAAATGAGAAATCCCGCTTCCAACGAAGGCCTCAAAGGGGTCTAACTAATCACTTGCAGACTTTACAGACAGAGTCTTTCCAAACTGCTCTATGAAGAGAAAGGTGAAACTCTGTGAACTGAACGCACAGATGACAAAGCAGTTTCTGAGAATGCTTCTGTGTAGTTTTTACACGAAGATATTTCCATTTCAAAGATTAGCCTCAAATCGCTTGAAATCTCCACTTGCAAACTCCACAGAAAGAATTTTTCAAAACTGCTCTGTCTAAAGGAAGGTTCAACCCTGTGACTTGAATACACACAACACAAAGAAGTGACTGAGAATTCTTCTGTCTAGCATTATATGAAGAAATCCCGTTTCCAACGAAGGCCTCAATGAAGTCCAAAAAAGCACTTGCAGGCTTTACAAACAGAGTGTTTCATAACTGCACTATGAAAAGAAAGGTTAAACTCTGTGAGTTGAACGCACACATCACAAAGTAGTTGTTGAGAATGATTCTGTGTAGTTTTTATACGAAGATATTTCCTTTTCTGCCATACGCCTAGAAGCGCTTGAAATCTGCACTTGCAAATTCCAAAAACAGAGGGTTTCAAATCTGCTCTCTCTAAAGGAAGGTTCAAATCTGTGTGTTGAATACAAACAACACAAAGAAGTTACTGAGAATTCTTCTGTCTAGCGTTATATGAAGAAATCCCGTTTCCAACGAAGGCCTCAAAGAGGTCCAAATATCCACTTGCAGACTTTACAAATAGAGTGTTTCCAAACTGCTCTATGAAAAGAAAGGTTAAACTCCGTGAGTTGAAGGCACACATCACAAACTAGTTTCTGCGAATGACTCTGTGTACTTTTAATATGAAGATATTTCCATGTCTAAGATTGGCGTCAAATCGCTTGAAATCTCCACTTGCAAATTCCACAAAAAGAGTGTTTCAAAACTGCTCTGAATAAAGGAAGGTTCCACTCTGTGAGTTGAATACACACAACACAAAGGATTTACTGAGAATTCTTCTGTATAGCAGTAAATGAAAAAATCCCGCTTCCAAAGAAGTCCTCAAAGGGGTCCAAGTAATCACTTGCAGACTTTACAGACAGAGTCTTTCCAAACTGCTCTATGAAAAGAAAGGTGGAACTCTGTGAGCTGAACGCACACATAACAAAGCAGTTTCTGAGAATGATTCTGTGTAGTTTTTACACGAAGATATTTCCATTTCAAAGATTAGCCTCAAATCGCTTGAAATCTCCACTTGCAAATTCCGCAGAAAGAGTTTTTCAAAACTGCTCTGTGTAAAGGAAGGTTCAACTCTGTGACTTGAATACACACAACACAAAGAAGTGACTGAGAATTCTTCTGTCTAGCATTATATGAAGAAATCCCGTTTCCAACGAAGGCCTCAAAGAAGTCCAAATAAGCACCTGCAGACTTTAAAAACAGAGTGTTTCCAAACTGCTCTATGAAAAGAAAGGTTAAACTCTGTGAGTTGAACGCACACATCACAAAGTAGTTGTTGAGAATGATTCTGTGTAGTTTTTATACGAAGATATTTCCTTTTCTGCCATAGGCCTAGAAGCGCTTGCAATCTGCACTTGCAAATTCCAAAAACAGAGTGTTTCAAATCTGCTCTCTCCAAAGGAAGGTTCAAATCTGTGAGTTGAATACAAACAACACAAAGAAGTTACTGAGAATTCTTCTGTCTAGCGTTGTATGAAGAAATCCCGTTTCCAACGAAGGCCTCAAAGAGGTCCAAATATCCACTTGCAGACTTTACAAATAGAGTGTTTCCAAACTGCTCTATGAAAAGAAAGGTTAAACTCTGTGAGTTGAAGGCACACATCACAAACTAGTTTCTACGAATGACTCTGTGTACTTTTAATATGAAGATATTTCCATGTCTAAGATTGGCGTCAAATCGCTTGAAATCTCCACTTGCAAATTCCACGAAAAGTGTTTTTCAAAACTGCTCTGAATAAAGGAAGGTTCCACTCTGTGAGTTGAATACACACAACACAAAGGATTTACTGAGAATTCTTCTGTCTAGCAGTAAATGAGAAATCCCGCTTCCAACGAAGGCCTCAAAGGGGTCTAACTAATCACTTGCAGACTTTACAGACAGAGTCTTTCCAAACTGCTCTATGAAGAGAAAGGTGAAACTCTGTGAACTGAACGCACAGATGACAAAGCAGTTTCTGAGAATGATTCTGTGTAGTTTTTACACGAAGATATTTCCATTTCAAAGATTAGCCTCAAATCGCTTGAAATCTCCACTTGCAAATTCCACAGAAAGAGTTTTTCAAAACTGCTCTGTGTAAAGGAAGGTTCAACTCTGTGACTTGAATACACACAACACAAAGAAGTGACTGAGAATTCTTCTGTCTAGCATTATACGAAGAAATCCCGTTTCCAACGAAGGCCTCAAAGAAGTCCAAATAAGCACCTGCAGACTTTACAAACAGAGTGTTTCCAAACTGCTCTATGAAAAGAAAGGTTAAACTCTGTGAGTTGAACGCACACATCACAAAGTAGTTGTTGAGAATGATTCTGTGTAGTTTTTATACGAAGATATTTAATTTTCTGCCATAGGCCTAGAAGCGCTTGCAATCTGCACTTGCAAATTCCAAAAACAGAGTGTTTCAAATCTGCTCTCTCCAAAGGAAGGTTCAAATCTGTGAGTTGAATACAAACAACACAAAGAAGTTACTGAGAATTCTTCTGTCTAGCGTTGTATGAAGAAATCCCGTTTCCAACGAAGGCCTCAAAGAGGTCCAAATATCCACTTGCAGACTTTACAAATAGAGTGTTTCCAAACTGCTCTATGAAAAGAAAGGTTAAACTCTGTGAGTTGAAGGCACACATCACAAACTAGTTTCTACGAATGACTCTGTGTACTTTTAATACGAAGATGTTTCCATGTCTAAGATTGGCGTGAATTCGCTTGAAATCTCCACTTGCAAATTCCACAAAAAGAGTGTTTCAAAACTGCTCTGAATAAAGGAAGGTTCCACTCTGTGAGTTGAATACACACAACACAAAGGATTTACTGAGAATTCTTCTGTCTAGCAGTAAATGAAAAAATCCCGCTTCCAACGAAGTCCTCAAAGGGGTCCAAGTAATCACTTGCAGACTTTACAGACAGAGTCTTTCCAAACTGCTCTATGAAAAGAAAGGTGGAACTCTGTGAGCTGAACGCACACATAACAAAGCAGTTTCTGACAATGATTCTGTGTAGTTTTTACACGAAGATATTTCCATTTCAAAGATTAGCCTCAAATCGCTTGAAATCTCCACTTGCAAACTCCACAGAAAGAATTTTTCAAAACTGCTCTGTCTAAAGGAAGGTTCAACTCTGTGACTTGAATACACACAACACAAAGAAGTGACTGAGAATTCTTCTGTCTAGCATTATATGAAGAAATCCCGTTTCCAACGAAGGCCTCAATGAAGTCCAAAAAAGCACTTGCAGGCTTTACAAACAGAGTGTTTCCAAACTGCTCTATGAAAAGAAAGGTTAAACTCTGTGAGTTGAACGCACACATCACAAAGTAGTTGTTGAGAATGATTCTGTGTAGTTTTTATACGAAGATAATTCCTTTTCTGCCATAGGCCTAGAAGCGCTTGAAATCTGCAGTTGCAAATTCCAAAAACAGAGTGTGTCAAATCTGCTCTCTCTAAAGGAAGGTTCAAATCTGTGAGTTGAATACAAACAACACAAAGAAGTTATTAAGAATTCTTCTGTCTAGCGTTATATGAAGAAATCCCATTTCCAACGAAGGCCTCAAACAGGTCCAAATATCCACTTGCAGACTTTACAAATAGAGTGTTTCCAAACTGCTCTATGAAAAGAAAGGTTAAACTCTGTGAGTTGAAGGCACACATCACAAACTAGTTTCTACGAATGACTCTGTGTACTTTTAATATGAAGATATTTCCACGTCTAAGATTGGCGTCAAATCGCTTGAAATCTCCACTTGCAAATTCCACAAAAAGTGTTTTTCAAAACTTCTCTGAATAAAGGAAGGTTCAACTCTGTGAGTTGAATTCACACAAGACAAAGGATTTACTGAGAATTCTTCTGTCTAGCAGTAAATGAGAAATCCCGCTTCCAACGAAGGCCTCAAAGGGGTCTAACTAATCACTTGCAGACTTTACAGACAGAGTCTTTCCAAACTGCTCTATGAAGAGAAAGGTGAAACTCTGTGAACTGAACGCACAGATGACAAAGCAGTTTCTGAGAATGATTCTGTGTAGTTTTTACACGAAGATATTTCCATTTCAAAGATTAGCCTCAAATCGATTGAAATCTCCACTTGCAAACTCCACAGAAAGAATTTTTCAAAACTACTCTGTCTAAAGGAAGGTTCAACTCTGTGACTTGAATACACACAACACAAAGAAGTGACTGAGAATTCTTCTGTCTAGCATTATAAGAGGAAATCCCGTTTCCAACGAAGGGCTCATAGAGGGACAATTATCCAGCTGCAGACTTACAAAGAGTGTATTTCCAAACTGCTCGATTAAAGAAAGGTTAAACTCTGTGAGTTGAACACACACATCACAAAGTGTTTTCTGAGAATGATTTTGTCTAGTTTTAATACGAAGATATATCCTTTTCTATCACTGTCTTCGAAGCGTTTGAAATCTGCACTAGCAAATTCCACAAACAGAGTGTTTCAACTCTGCTCTCTCTCAAGGAAGCTTCAACTCTGTGAGTGGAATACACACAACACAAAGAAGTTACTGAGAATTCTTCTGTCTAGCGTTGTATGAAGAAATCCCGTTTCCAACGAAGGCCTCAAAGAGGTCCAAATATCCACTTGCAGACTTTACAAATAGAGTGTTTCCAAACTGCTCTATGAAAAGAAAGGTTAAACTCTGTGAGTTGAAGGCACACATCACAAACTAGTTTCTACGAATGACTCTGTGTACTTTTAATATGAAGATATTTCCATGTCTAAGATTGGCGTCAAATCGCTTGAAATCTCCACTTGCAAATTCCACAAAAAGAGTGTTTCAAAACTGCTCTGAATAAAGGAAGGTTCCACTCTGTGAGTTGAATACACACAACACAAAGGATTTACTGAGAATTCTTCTGTCTAGCAGTAAATGAAAAAATCCCGCTTCCAACGAAGTCCTCAAAGAGGTCCAAGTAATCACTTGCAGACTTTACAGACAGAGTCTTTCCAAACTGCTCTATGAAAAGAAAGGTGGAACTCTGTGAGCTGAACGCACACATAACAAAGCAGTTTCTGAGAATGATTCTGTGTAGTTTTTACACGAAGCTATTTCCATTTCAAAGATTAGCCTCAAATCGCTTGAAATCTCCACTTGCAAATTCCACAGAAAGAGTTTTTCAAAACTGCTCTGTGTAAAGGAAGGTTCAACTCTGTGACTTGAATACACACAACACAAAGAAGTGACTGAGAATTCTTCTGTCTAGCATTATATGAGGAAATCCCGTTTCCAACGAAGGGCTCAAAGAGGGCCAAATATCCACCTGCAGAATTACAAAGAGTGTATTTCCAAACTGCTCGATTAAAGAAAGGTTAAACTCTGTGAGTTGAACACACACATCACAAAGAGTTTTCTGAGAATGATTTTGTCTACTTTTAATACGAAGATATATCCTTTTCTATCACTGTCTTCGAAGCGTTTGAAATCTACACTAGCAAATTCCACAAAAAGAGTGTTTCACCTCTGCTCCCTCTAAAGAAAGGTTCAACTCTGTGAGTTGAATACACACAACACAAAGAAGTTACTGAGAATTCTTCTGTCTAGCTTTATATGAAGAAATCCCGTTTCCAACGAAGGCCTCAAAGAGGTCCAAATATCCACTTGCAGACTTTACAAATAGAGTGTTTCCGAACTGCTCTATGAAAAGAAAGGTTAAACTCTGTGAGTTGAAGGCACACATCACAATCTAGTTTCTACGAATGACTCTGTGTACTTTTAATACGAAGATGTTTCCATGTCTAAGATTGGCGTGAATTCGCTTGAAATCTCCACTTGCAAATTCCACAAAAAGAGTGTTTCAAAACTGCTCTGAATAAAGGAAGGTTCCACTCTGTGAGTTGAATACACACAACACAAAGGATTTACTGAGAATTCTTCTGTCTAGCAGTAAATGAAAAAATCCCGCTTCCAACGAAGTCCTCAAAGGGGTCCAAGTAATCATTTGCAGACTTTACAGACGGAGTCTTTCCAAACTGCTCTATGAAAAGAAAGGTGGAACTCTGTGAGCTGAACGCACACATAACAAAGCAGTTTCTGAGAATGATTCTGTGTAGTTTTTACACGAAGATATTTCCATTTCAAAGATTAGCCTCAAATCGCTTGAAATCTCCACTTGCAAACTCCACAGAAAGAATTTTTCAAAACTGCTCTGTCTAAAGGAAGGTTCAACTCTGTGACTTGAATACACACAACACAAAGAAGTGACTGAGAATTCTTCTGTCTAGCATTATATGAAGAAATCCCGTTTCCAACGAAGGCCTCAAAGAAGTCCAAATAAGCACCTGCAGACTTTACAAACAGAGTGTTTCCAAACTGCTCTATGAAAAGAAAGGTTAAACTCTGTGAGTTGAACGCACACATCACAAACTAGTTTCTGCGAATGACTCTGTGTAGTTTTTATACGAAGATATTTCCTTTTCTGCCATAGGCCTAGAAGCGCTTGTAATCTGCACTTGCAAATTCCGAAAACAGAGTGTTTCAAATCTGCTCTCTCTAAAGGAAGGTTCAAATCTGTGAGTTGAATACAAACAACACAAAGAAGTTACTGAGAATTCTTCTGTCTAGCGTTATATGAAGAAATCCCGTTTCCAACGAAGGCCTCAAAGAGGTCCAAATATCCACTTGCAGACTTTACAAATAGAGTGTTTCCCAACTGCTCTATGAAAAGAAAGGTTAAACTCTGTGAGTTGAAGGCACACATCACAAACTAGTTTCTACGAATGACTCTGTGTACTGTTAATACGAAGATGTTTCCATGTCTAAGATTGGCGTGAATTCGCTTGAAATCTCCACTTGCAAATTCCACAAAAAGAGTGTTTCAAAACTGCTCTGAATAAAGGAAGGTTCCACTCTGTGAGTTGAATACACACAACACAAAGGATTTACTGAGAATTCTTCTGTCTAGCAGTAAATGAAAAAATCCCGCTTCCAACGAAGTCCTCAAAGGGGTCCAAGTAATCACTTGCAGACTTTACAGACAGAGTCTTTCCAAACTGCTCTATGAAAAGAAAGGTGGAACTCTGTGAGCTGAACGCACACATAACAAAGCAGTTTCTGAGAATGATTCTGTGTAGTTTTTACACGAAGCTATTTCCATTTCAAAGATTAGCCTCAAATCGCTTGAAATCTCCACTTGCAAATTCCACAGAAAGAGTTTTTCAAAACTGCTCTGTGTAAAGGAAAGTTCAACTCTGTGACTTGAATACACACAACACAAAGAAGTGACTGAGAATTCTTCTGTCTAGCATTATATGAAGAAATCCCGTTTCCAACGAAGGCCTCAATGAAGTCCAAAAAAGCACTTGCAGGCTTTACAAACAGAGTGTTTCCAAACTGCTCTATGAAAAGAAAGGTTAAACTCTGTGAGTTGAACGCACACATTCACAAAGTAGTTGTTGAGAATGATTTTGTCTAGTTTTAATACGAAGATATATCCTTTTCTATCACTGTCTTCGAAGCGTTTGAAATCTGCACTAGCAAATTCCACAAACAGAGTGTTTCAACTCTGCTCTCTCTCAAGAAAGGTTCAACTCTGTGAGTGGAATACACACAACACAAAGAAGTTACTGAGAATTCTTCTGTCTAGCGTTATATGAAGAAATCCCGTTTCCAACGAAGGCCTCAAAGAGGTCCAAATATCCACTTGCAGACTTTACAAATAGAGTGTTTCCAAACTGCTCTATGAAAAGAAAGGTTAAACTCCGTGAGTTGAAGGCACACATCACAAACTAGTTTCTGCGAATGACTCTGTGTACTTTTAATACGAAGATGTTTCCATGTCTAAGATTGGCGTGAATTCGCTTGAAATCTCCACTTGCAAATTCCACAAAAAGAGTGTTTCAAAACTGCTCTGAATAAAGGAAGGTTCCACTCTGTGAGTTGAATACACACAACACAAAGGATTTACTGAGAATTCTTCTGTCTAGCAGTAAATGAAAAAATCCCGCTTCCAACGAAGTCCTCAAAGGGGTCCAAGTAATCACTTGCAGACTTTACAGACAGAGTCTTTCCAAACTGCTCTATGAAAAGAAAGGTGGAACTCTGTGAGCTGAACGCACACATAACAAAGCAGTTTCTGAGAATGATTCTGTGTAGTTTTTACACGAAGATATTTCCATTTCAAAGATTAGCCTCAAATCGCTTGAAATCTCCACTTGCAAACTCCACAGAAAGAATTTTTCAAAACTGCTCTGTCTAAAGGAAGGTTCAACTCTGTGACTTGAATACACACAACACAAAGAAGTGACTGAGAATTCTTCTGTCTAGCATTATATGAAGAAATCCCGTTTCCAACGAAGACCTCAATGAAGTCCAAAAAAGCACTTGCAGGCTTTACAAACAGAGTGTTTCCAAACTGCTCTATGAAAAGAAAGGTTAAACTCTGTGAGTTGAAGGCACACATCACAAAGTAGTTGTTGAGAATGATTCTGTGTAGTTTTTATACGAAGATATTTCCTTTTCTGCCATAGGCCTAGAAGCGCTTGAAATCTGCACTTGCAAATTCCAAAAACAGAGTGTTTCAAATCTGCTCTCTCTAAAGGAAGGTTCAAATCTGTGAGTTGAATACAAACAACACAAAGAAGTTACTGAGAATTCTTCTGTCTAGCGTTGTATGAAGAAATCCCGTTTCCAACGAAGGCCTCAAAGAGGTCCAAATATCCACTTGCAGACTTTACAAATAGAGTGTTTCCAAACTGCTCTATGAAAAGAAAGGTTAAACTCTGTGAGTTGAAGGCACACATCACAAACTAGTTTCTACGAATGACTCTGTGTACTTTTAATACGAAGATGTTTCCATGTCTAAGATGGGCGTGAATTCGCTTGAAATCTCCACTTGCAAATTCCACAAAAAGAGTGTTTCAAAACTGCTCTGAATAAAGGAAGGTTCCACTCTGTGAGTTGAATACACACAACACAAAGGATTTACTGAGAATTCTTCTGTCTAGCAGTAAATGAAAAAATCCCGCTTCCAACGAAGTCCTCAAAGGGGTCCAAGTAATCACTTGCAGACTTTACAGACAGAGTCTTTCCAAACTGCTCTATGAAAAGAAAGGTGGAACTCTGTGAGCTGAACGCACACATAACAAAGCAGTTTCTGACAATGATTCTGTGTAGTTTTTACACGAAGCTATTTCCATTTCAAAGATTAGCCTCAAATCGCTTGAAATCTCCACTTGCAAATTCCACAGAAAGAGTTTTTCAAAACTGCTCTGTGTAAAGGATGGTTCAACTCTGTGACTTGAATACACACAACACAAAGAAGTGACTGAGAATTCTTCTGTCTAGCATTATATGAGGAAATCCCGTTTCCAACGAAGGGCTCAAAGAGGGCCAAATATCCACCTGCAGACTTACAAAGAGTGTATTTCCAAACTGCTCGATTAAAGAAAGGTTAAACTCTGTGAGTTGAACACACACATCACAAAGAGTTTTCTGAGAATGATTCTGTGTAGTTTTTATACGAAGATATTTCCTTTTCTGCCATAGGCCTAGAAGCGCTTGCAATCTGCACTTGCAAATTCCAAAAACAGAGTGTTTCAAATCTGCTCTCTCCAAAGGAAGGTTCAAATCTGTGAGTTGAATACAAACAACACAAAGAAGTTACTGAGAATTCTTCTGTCTAGCGTTGTATGAAGAAATCCCGTTTCCAACGAAGGCCTCAAAGAGGTCCAAATATCCACTTGCAGACTTTACAAATAGAGTGTTTCCAAACTGCTCTATGAAAAGAAAGGTTAAACTCTGTGAGTTGAAGGCACACATCACAAACTAGTTTCTACGAATGACTTCTGTGTAATTTTAATATGAAGATATTTCCATGTCTAAGATTGGCGTCAAATCGCTTGAAATCTCCACTTCCAAATTCCACAAAAAGTGTTTTTCAAAACTGCTCTGAGTAAAGGAAGGTTCCACTCTGTGAGTTGAATACACACAACACAAAGTATTTACTGAGAATTCTTCTGTCTAGCAGTAAATGAGAAATCCCGCTTCCAACGAAGGCCTCAAAGGGGTCTAACTAATCACTTGCAGACTTCACAGACAGAGTCTTTCGAAACTGCTCTATGAAGAGAAAGGTGAAACTCTGTGAACTGAACGCACAGATAACAAAGCAGTTTCTGAGAATGATTCTGTGTAGTTTTTACACGAAGATATTTCCATTTCAAAGATTAGCCTCAAATCTCTTAAAATCTCCAATTGCAAATTCCACAGAAAGAATTTTTCAAAACTGCTCTGTCTAAAAGAAGGTTCAACTCTGTGACTTGAATACACACAACACAAAGAAGTGACTGAGAATTCTTCTGTCTAGCATTACATGAAGAAATCCCGTTTCCAACGAAGGCCTCAAAGAAGTCCAAATAAGCACCTGCAGACTTTACAAACAGAGTGTTTCCAAACTGCTCTATGAAAAGAAAGGTTAAACTCTGTGAGTTGAACGCACACATCACAAAGTAGTTGTTGAGAATGATTCTGTGTAGTTTTTATACGAAGATATTTCCTTTTCTGCCATAGGCCTAGAAGCGCTTGAAATCTGCACTTGCAAATTCCAAAAACAGAGTGTTTCAAATCTGCTCTCTCTAAAGGAAGGTTCAAATCTGTGAGTTGAATACAAACAACACAAAGAAGTTACTGAGAATTCTTCTGTCTAGCGTTATATGAAGAAATCCCGTTTCCAACGAAGGCCTCAAAGAGGTCCAAATATCCACTTGCAGACTATACAAATAGAGTGTTTCCAAACTGCTCTATGAAAAGAAAGCTTAAACTCTGTGAGTTGAAGGCACACATCACAAACTAGTTTCTGCGAATGACTCTGTGTACTTTTAATATGAAGATATTTCCATGTCTAAGATTGGCGTCAAATCGCTTGAAATCTCCACTTGCAAATTCCACAAAAAGAGTGTTTCAAAACTGCTCTGAATAAAGGAAGGTTCCACTCTGTGAGTTGAATACACACAACACAAAGGATTTACTGAGAATTCTTCTGTCTAGCAGTAAATGAAAAAATCCCGCTTCCAACGAAGTCCTCAAAGGGGTCCAAGTAATCACTTGCAGACTTTACAGACAGAGTCTTTCCAAACTGCTCTATGAAAAGAAAGGTGGAACTCTGTGAGCTGAACGCACACATAACAAAGCAGTTTCTGACAATGATTCTGTGTAGTTTTTACACGAAGATATTTCCATTTCAAAGATTAGCCTCAAATCGCTTGAAATCTCCACTTGCAAACTCCACAGAAAGAATTTTTCAAAACTACTCTGTCTAAAGGAAGGTTCAACTCTGTGACTTGAATACACACAACACAAAGAAGTGACTGAGAATTCTTCCGTCTTGCATTATATGAAGAAATCCCGTTTCCAACTAAGGCCTCAATGAAGTCCAAAAAAGCACTTGCAGGCTTTACAAACAGAATGTTTCCAAACTGCTCTATGAAAAGAAAGGTTAAACTCTGTGAGTTGAACGCACACATCACAAAGTAGTTGTTGAGAATGATTCTGTGTAGTTTTTATACGAAGATATTTCCTTTTCTGCCATAGGCCTAGAAGCGCTTGTAATCTGCACTTGCAAATTCCAAAAACAGAGTGTTTCAAATCTGCTCTCTCTAAAGGAAGGTTCAAATCTGTGAGTTGAATACAAACAACACAAAGAAGTTACTGAGAATTCTTTCTGTCTAGCGTTATATGAAGAAATCCCGTTTCCAACGAAGGCCTCAAAGAGGTCCAAATATCCACTTGCAGACTTTACAAATAGAGTGTTTCCCAACTGCTCTATGAAAAGAAAGATTAAACTCTGTGAGTTGAAGGCACACATCACAAACTAGTTTCTACGAATGACTCTGTGTACTTTTAATACGAAGATGTTTCCATGTCTAAGATTGGCGTGAATTCGCTTGAAATCTCCACTTGCAAATTCCACAAAAAGAGTGTTTCAAAACTGCTCTGAATAAAGGAAGGTTCCACTCTGTGAGTTGAATACACACAACACAAAGGATTTACTGAGAATTCTTCTGTCTGGCAGTAAATGAAAAAATCCCGCTTCCAACGAAGTCCTCAAAGGGGTCCAAGTAATCACTTGCAGACTTTACAGACAGAGTCTTTCCAAACTGCTCTATGAAAAGAAAGGTGGAACTCTGTGAGCTGAACGCACACATAACAAAGCAGTTTCTGAGAATGATTCTGTGTAGTTTTTACACGAAGCTATTTCCATTTCAAAGATTAGCCTCAAATCGCTTGAAATCTCCACTTGCAAATTCCACAGAAAGAGTTTTTCAAAACTGCTCTGTGTAAAGGAAGGTTCAACTCTGTGACTTGAATACACACAACACAAAGAAGTGACTGAGAATTCTTCTGTCTAGCATTACATGAAGAAATCCCGTTTCCAACGAAGGCCTCAAAGAAGTCCAAATAAGCACCTGCAGACTTTACAAACAGAGTGTTTCCAAACTGCTCTATGAAAAGAAAGGTTAAACTCTGTGAGTTGAACGCACACATCACAAAGTAGTTGTTGAGAATGATTCTGTGTAGTTTTTATACGAAGATATTTCCTTTTCTGCCATAGGCCTAGAAGCGCTTGCAATCTGCACTTGCAAATTCCAAAAACAGAGTGTTTCAAATCTGCTCTCTCCAAAGGAAGGTTCAAATCTGTGAGTTGAATACAAACAACACAAAGAAGTTACTGAGAATTCTTCTGTCTAGCGTTGTATGAAGAAATCCCGTTTCCAACGAAGGCCTCAAAGAGGTCCAAATATCCACTTGCAGACTTTACAAATAGAGTGTTTCCAAACTGCTCTATGAAAAGAAAGGTTAAACTCTGTGAGTTGAAGGCACACATCACAAACTAGTTTCTACGAATGACTCTGTGTACTTTTAATACGAAGATGTTTCCATGTCTAAGATTGGCGTGAATTCGCTTGAAATCTCCACTTGCAAATTCCACAAAAAGAGTGTTTCAAAACTGCTCTGAATAAAGGAAGGTTCCACTCTGTGAGTTGAATACACACAACACAAAGGATTTACTGAGAATTCTTCTGTCTAGCAGTAAATGAAAAAATCCCGCTTCCAACGAAGTCCTCAAAGGGGTCCAAGTAATCACTTGCAGACTTTACAGACAGAGTCTTTCCAAACTGCTCTATGAAAAGAAAGGTGGAACTCTGTGAGCTGAACGCACACATAACAAAGCAGTTTCTGACAATGATTCTGTGTAGTTTTTACACGAAGATATTTCCATTTCAAAGATTAGCCTCAAATCGCTTGAAATCTCCACTTGCAAATTCCACAGAAAGAGTTTTTCAAAACTGCTCTGTGTAAAGGAAGGTTCAACTCTGTGACTTGAATACACACAACACAAAGAAGTGACTGAGAATTCTTCTGTCTAGCATTACATGAAGAAATCCCGTTTCCAACGAAGGCCTCAAAGAAGTCCAAATAAGCACCTGCAGACTTTACAAACAGAGTGTTTCCAAACTGCTCTATGAAAAGAAAGGTTAAACTCTGTGAGTTGAACGCACACATCACAAAGTAGTTGTTGAGAATGATTCTGTGTAGTTTTTATACGAAGATATTTCCTTTTCTGCCATAGGCCTAGAAGCGCTTGTAATCTGCACTTGCAAATTCCAAAAACAGAGTGTTACAAATCTGCTCTCTCTAAAGGAAGGTTCAATCTGTGAGTTGAATACAAACAACACAAAGTAGTTACTGAGAATTCTTCTGTCTAGCGTTTTATGAAGAAATCCCGTTTCCAACGAAGGCCTCAAAGAGGTCCAAATATCCACTTGCAGACTTTACAAATAGAGTGTTTCCAAACTGCTCTATGAAAAGAAAGGTTAAACTCCGTGAGTTGAAGGCACACATCACAAACTAGCTTCTGCGAATGACTCTGTGTACTTTTAATACGAAGATATTTCCATGTCTAAGATTGGCGTGAATTCGCTTGAAATCTCCACTTGCAAATTCCACAAAGAGTGTTTCAAAACTGCTCTGAATAAAGGAAGGTTCCACTCTGTGAGTTGAATACACACAACACAAAGGATTTACTGAGAATTCTTCTGTCTAGCAGTAAATGAAAAAATCCCGCTTCCAACGAAGTCCTCAAAGGGGTCCAAGTAATCACTTGCAGACTTTACAGACAGAGTCTTTCCAAACTGCTCTATGAAAAGAAAGGTGGAACTCTGTGAGCTGAACGCACACATAACAAAGCAGTTTCTGAGAATGATTCTGTGTAGTTTTTACACGAAGATATTTCCATTTCAAAGATTAGCCTCAAATCGCTTGAAATCTCCACTTGCAAATTCCACAGAAAGAGTTTTTCAAAACTGCTCTGTGTAAAGGAAGGTTCAACTCTGTGACTTGAATACACACAACACAAAGAAGTGACTGAGAATTCTTCTGTCTAGCATTATAAGAGGAAATCCCGTTTCCAACGAAGGGCTCATAGAGGGACAATTATCCAGCTGCAGACTTACAAAGAGTGTATTTCCAAACTGCTCGATTAAAGAAAGGTTAAACTCTGTGAGTTGAACACACACATCACAAAGTGTTTTCTGAGAATGATTCTGTGTAGTTTTTATACGAAGATATTTCCTTTTCTGCCATAGGCCTAGAAGCGCTTGCAATCTGCACTTGCAAATTCCAAAAACAGAGTGTTTCAAATCTGCTCTCTCCAAAGGAAGGTTCAAATCTGTGAGTTGAATACAAACAACACAAAGAAGTTACTGAGAATTCTTCTGTCTAGCGTTATATGAAGAAATCCCGTTTCCAACGAAGGCCTCAAAGAGGTCCAAATATCCACTTGCAGACTTTACAAATAGAGTGTTTCCCAACTGCTCTATGAAAAGAAAGGTTAAACTCTGTGAGTTGAAGGCACACATCACAAACTAGTTTCTACGAATGACTCTGTGTACTTTTAATACGAAGATGTTTCCATGTCTAAGATTGGCGTGAATTCGCTTGAAATCTCCACTTGCAAATTCCACAAAAAGAGTGTTTCAAAACTGCTCTGAATAAAGGAAGGTTCCACTCTGTGAGTTGAATACACACAACACAAAGGATTTACTGAGAATTCTTCTGTCTAGCAGTAAATGAGAAATCCCGCTTCCAACGAAGGCCTCAAAGGGGTCTAACTAATCACTTGCAGACTTTACAGACAGAGTCTTTCCAAACTGCTCTATGAAGAGAAAGGTGAAACTCTGTGAACTGAACGCACAGATGACAAAGCAGTTTCTGAGAATGATTCTGTGTAGTTTTTACACGAAGATATTTCCATTTCAAAGATTAGCCTCAAATCGCTTGAAATCTCCACTTGCAAACTCCACAGAAAGAATTTTTCAAAACTGCTCTGTCTAAAGGAAGGTTCAACTCTGTGACTTGAATACACACAACACAAAGAAGTGACTGAGAATTCTTCTGTCTAGCATTATATGAAGAAATCCCGTTTCCAACGAAGGCCTCAAAGAAGTCCAAATAAGCACCTGCAGACTTTACAAACAGAGTGTTTCCAAACTGCTCTATGAAAAGAAAGGTTAAACTCTGTGAGTTGAACGCACACATCACAAAGTAGTTGTTGAGAATGATTTTGTCTAGTTTTAATACGAAGATATATCCTTTTCTATCACTGTCTTCGAAGCGTTTGAAATCGGCACTAGCAAATTCCACAAACAGAGTGTTTCAACTCTGCTCTCTCTCAAGAAAGGTTCAACTCTGTGAGTGGAATACACACAACACAAAGAAGTTACTGTGAATTCTTCTGTCTAGCGTTATATGAAGAAATCCCGTTTCCAACGAAGGCCGCAAAGACGTCCAAATATCCACTTGCAGACTTTACAAATAGAGTGTTTCCAAACTGCTCTATGAAAAGAAAGGTTAAACTCTGTGAGTTGAAGGCACACATCACAAACTAGTTTCTGCGAATGACTCTGTGTACTTTTAATATGAAGATATTTCCATGTCTAAGATTGCCGTCAAATCGGTTGAAATCTCCATTTGCAAATTCCACAAAAAGTGTTTTTCAAAACTGCTCTGAATAAAGGAAGGTTCCACTCTGTGAGTTGAATACACACAACACAAAGGATTTACTGAGAATTCTTCTGTCTAGCAGTAAATGAGAAATCCCGCTTCCAACGAAGGCCTCAAAGGGGTCTAACTAATCACTTGCAGACTTTAAAGACAGAGTCTTTCCAAACTGCTCTATGAAGAGAAAGGTGAAACTCTGTGAACTGAACGCACAGATGACAAAGCAGTTTCTGAGAATGCTTCTGTGTAGTTTTTACACGAAGATATTTCCATTTCAAAGATTAGCCTCAAATCGCTTGAAATCTCCACTTGCAAATTCCACAGAAAGAGTTTTTCAAAACTGCTCTGTGTAAAGGAAGGTTCAACTCTGTGACCTGAATACACACAACACAAAGACGTGACTGAGAATTCTTCTGTCTAGCATTACATGAAGAAATCCCGTTTCCAACGAAGGCCTCAATGAAGTCCAAAAAAGCACTTGCAGGCTTTACAAACAGAGTGTTTCCAAACTGCTCTATGAAAAGAAAGGTTAAACTCTGTGAGTTGAACGCACACATCACAAAGTAGTTGTTGAGAATGATTTTGTCTAGTTTTAATACGAAGATATATCCTTTTCTATCACTGTCTTCGAAGCGTTTGTAATCTGCACTAGCAAATTCCACAAAAAGAGTGTTTCAACTCTGCTCTCTCTCAAGAAAGGTTCAACTCTGTGAGTGGAATACACACAACACAAAGAAGTTACAGAGAATTCTTCTGTCTAGCGTTATATGAAGAAATCCCGTTTCCAACGAAGGCCTCAAAGAGGTCCAAATATCCACTTCCAGACTTTACAAATAGAGTGTTTCCAAACTGCTCTATGAAAAGAAAGTTTAAACTCCGTGCGTTGAAGGCACACATCACAAACTAGTTTCTGCGAATGACTCTGTGTACTTTTAATACGAAGATGTTTCCATGTCTAAGATTGGCGTGAATTCGCTTGAAATCTCCACTTGCAATTTCCACAAAAAGAGTGTTTCAAAACTGCTCTGAATAAAGGAAGGTTCCACTCTGTGAGTTGAATACACACAACACAAAGGATTTACTGAGAATTCTTCTGTCTAGCAGTAAATGAGAAATCCCGCTTCCAACGAAGGCCTCAAAGGGGTCTAACTAATCACTTGCAGACTTTACAGACAGAGTCTTTCCAAACTGCTCTATGAAGAGAAAGGTGAAACTCTGTGAACTGAACGCACAGATGACAAAGCAGTTTCTGAGAATGATTCTGTGTAGTTTTTACACGAAGATATTTCCATTTCAAAGATTAGCCTCAAATCGCTTGAAATCTCCACTTGCAAATTACACAGAAAGAATTTTTCAAAACTGCTCTGTCTAAAGGAAGGTTCAACTCTGTGACTTGAATACACAAAACACAAAGAAGTGACTGAGAATTCTTCTGTCTAGCATTATATGAGGAAATCCCGTTTCCAACGAAGGCCTCAATGAAGTCCAAAAAAGCACTTGCAGGCTTTACAAACAGAGTGTTTCCGAACTGCTCTATGAAAAGAAAGGTTAAACTCTGTGAGTTGAACGCACACATCACAAAGTAGTTGTTGAGAATGATTCTGTGTAGTTTTTATACGAAGATATTTCCTTTTCTGCCATAGGCCTAGAAGCGCTTGAAATCTGCACTTGCAAATTCCAAAAACAGAGTGTTTCAAATCTGCTCTCTCTAAAGGAAGGTTCAAATCTGTGTGTTGAATACAAACAACACAAAGAAGTTACTGAGAATTCTTCTGTCTAGCGTTATATGAAGAAATCCCGTTTCCAACGAAGGCCTCAAAGAGGTCCAAATATCCACTTGCAGACTTTACAAATAGAGTGTTTCCAAACTGCTCTATGAAAAGAAAGCTTAAACTCTGTGAGTTGAAGGCACACATCACAAACTAGTTTCTGCGAATGACTTCTGTGTACTTTTAATATGAAGATATTTCCATGTCTAAGATTGGCGTCAAATCGCTTGAAATCTCCACTTGCAAATTCCACAAAAAGTGTTTTTCAAAACTGCTCTGAATAAAGGAAGGTTCCACTCTGTGAGTTGAATACACACAACACAAAGGATTTACTGAGAATTCTTCTGTCTAGCAGTAAATGAGAAATCCCGCTTCCAACGAAGGCCTCAAAGGGGTCTAACTAATCACTTGCAGACTTTACAGACAGAGTCTTTCCAAACTGCTCTATGAAGAGAAAGGTGAAACTCTGTGAACTGAACGCACAGATGACAAAGCAGTTTCTGAGAATGATTCTGTGTAGTTTTTACACGAAGACATTTCCATTTCAAAGATTAGCCTCAAATCGCCTGAAATCTCCACTTGCAAATTCCACAGAAAGAATTTTTCAAAACTACTCTGTCTAAAGGAAGGTTCAACTCTGTGACTTGAATACACACAACACAAAGAAGTGACTGAGAATTCTTCTGTCTAGCGTTATATGAAGAAATCCCGTTTCCAACAAAGGCCTCAATGAAGTCCAAAAAAGCACTTGCAGGCTTTACAAACAGAGTGTTTCCAAACTGCTCTATGAAAAGAAAGGTTAAACTCTGTGAGTTGAACGCACACATCACAAAGTAGTTGTTGAGAATGATTTTGTCTAGTTTTAATATGAAGATATATCCTTTTCTATCACTGTCTTCGAAGCGTTTGAAATCTGCACTAGCAAATTCCACAGAAAGAGTGTTTCAACTCTGCTCTCTCTCAAGAAAGGTTCAACTCTGTGAGTGGAATACACACAACACAAAGAAGTTACTGAGAATTCTTCTGTCTAGCGTTATATGAAGAAATCCCGTTTCCAACGAAGGCCTCAAAGAGGTCCAAATATCCACTTGCAGACTTTACAAAGAGAGTGTTTCCAAACTGCTCTATGAAAAGAAAGGTTTAACTCCGTGAGTTGAAGGCACGCATCACAAACTAGTTTCTGCGAATGACTCTGTGTACTTTTAATATGAAGATATTTCCATGTCTAAGATTGGCGTCAAATCGCTTGAAATCTCCACTTGCAAATTCCACAAAAAGTGTTTTTCAAAACTGCTCTGAATAAAGGAAGGTTCCACTCTGTGAGTTGAATACACACAACACAAAGGATTTACTGAGAATTCTTCTGTCTAGCAGTAAATGAAAAAATCCCGCTTCCAACGAAGTCCTCAAAGGGGTCCAAGTAATCACTTGCAGACTTCACAGACAGAGTCTTTCCAAACTGCCCTATGAAAAGAAAGGTGGAACCGTGTGAGCTGAACGCACACATAACAAAGCAGTTTCTGAGAATGATTCTGTGTAGTTTTTACACGAAGATATTTCCATTTCAAAGATTAGCCTCAAATCGCTTGAAATCTCCACTTGCAAATTCCACAGAAAGAGTTTTTCAAAACTGCTCTGTGTAAAGGAAGGTTCAACTCTGTGACTTGAATACACACAACACAAAGACGTGACTGTAAATTCTTCTGTCTAGCATTATATGAAGAAATCCCGTTTCCAACGAAGGCCTCAAAGAAGTCCAAATAAGCACCTGCAGACTTTACAAACAGAGTGTTTCGAAACTGCTCTATGAAAAGAAAAGTTAAACTCTGTGAGTTGAACGCACACATCACAAAGTAGTTGTTGAGAATGATTCTGTGTAGTTTTTATACGAAGATATTTCCTTTTCTGCCATAGGCCTAGAAGCGCTTGAAATCTGCACTTGCAAATTCCAAAAACAGAGTGTTTCAAATCTGCTCCCTCTAAAGGAAGGTTCAAATCTGTGAGTTGTATACAAACAACACAAAGAAGTTACTGAGAATTCTTCTGTCTAGCGTTGTATGAAGAAATCCCGTTTCCAACGAAGGCCTCAAAGGAGGTCCAAATATCCACTTGCAGACTTTACAAATAGAGTGTTTCCAAACTGCTCTATGAAAAGAAAGGTTAAACTCTGTGAGTTGAAGGCACACATCACAAACTAGTTTTTACGAATGACTCTGTGTACTTTAAATACGAAGATATTTCCATGTCTAAGATTGGCGTGAAATCGCTTGAAATCTCCACTTGCAAATTCCACAAAAAGAGTGTGTCAAAACTGCTCTGAATAAAGGAAGGTTCAACTCTGTGAGTTGAATACACACAACACAAAGGATTTACTGAGAATTCTTCTGTCTAGCAGTAAATGAAAAAATTCCTCTTCCAACGAAGTCCTCAAAGGGGTCCAAGTAATCACTTGCAGACTTCACAGACAGAGTCTTTCCAAACTGCTCTATGAAAAGAAAGGTGGAACTCTGTGAGCTGAACGCACACATAACAAAGCAGTTACTAAGAAAGATTCTGTGTAGTTTTTACACGAAGATATTTCCATTTCAAAGATTAGCTTCAAATCGCTTGAAATCTCCACTTGCAAATTCCACAGAAAGAGTTTTTCAAAACTGCTCTGTGTAAAGGAAGGTTCAACTGTGTGACTTGAATACACACAACACAAAGAAGTGACTGAGAATTCTTCTGTCTAGCATTATATGAAGAAATCCCGTTTCCAACGAAGGCCTCAAAGAAGTCCAAAGAAGCACCTGCAGACTTTACAAACAGAGTGTTTCCAAACTGCTCTATGAAAAGAAAGGTTAAACTCTGTGAGTTGAACGCACACATCACAAAGTAGTTGTTGAGAATGATTCTGTGTAGTTTTTATACGAAGATATTTCCTTTTCTGCCATAGGCCTAGAAGCGCTTGTAATCTGCACTTGCAAATTCCAAAAAGAGAGTGTTTCAAATCTGCTCTCTCTAAAGGAAGGTTCAAATCTGTGAGTTGAATACAAACAACACAAAGAAGTTACTGAGAATTCTTCTGTCTAGCGTTATATGAAGAAATCCCGTTTCCAACGAAGGCCTCAAAGACGTCCAAATATCCACTTGCAGACTTTACAAATAGAGTGTTTCCAAACTGCTCTATGAAAAGAAAGGTTAAACTCCGTGAGTTGAAGGCACACATCACAAACTAGTTTCTGCGAATGACTCTGTGTACTTTTAATACGAAGATGTTTCCATGTCTAAGATTGGCGTGAATTCGCTTGAAATCTCCACTTGCAAATTCCACAAAAAGAGTGTTTCAAAACTGCTCTGAATAAAGGAAGGTTCCACTCTGTGAGTTGAATACACACAACACAAAGGATTTACTGAGAATTCTTCTGTCTAGCAGTAAATGAAAAAATCCCGCTTCCAACGAAGTCCTCAAAGGGGTCCAAGTAATCACTTGCAGACTTTACAGACAGAGTCTTTCCAAACTGCTCTATGAAAAGAAAGGTGGAACTCTGCGAGCTGAACGCACACATAACAAAGCAGTTTCTGAGAATGATTCTGTGTAGTTTTTACACGAAGATATTTCCATTTCAAAGATTAGCCTCAAATCGCTTGAAATCTCCACTTGCAAACTCCACAGAAAGAATTTTTCAAAACTGCTCTGTCTAAAGGAAGGTTCAACTCTGTGACTTGAATACACACAACACAAAGAAGTGACTGAGAATTCTTCTGTCTAGCATTATATGAAGAAATCCCGTTTCCAACGAAGGCCTCAATGAAGTCCAAAAAAGCAATTGCAGGCTTTACAAACAGAGTGTTTCCAAACTGCTCTATGAAAAGAAAGGTTAAACTTTGTGAGTTGAACGCACACATCACAAAGTAGTTGTTGAGAATGATTCTGTGCAGTTTTTATACGAAGATATTTCCTTTTCTGCCATAGGCCTAGAAGCGCTTGAAATCTGCACTTGCAAATTCCAAAAACAGAGTGTTTCAAATCTGCTCTCTCTAAAGGAAGGTTCGAATCTGTGAGTTGAATACAATACAAACAACACAAAGAAGTTACTGAGAATTCATCTGTCTAGCGTTATATGAAGAAATCCCGTTTCCAACGAAGGCCTCAAAGAGGTCCAAATATCCACTTGCAGACTTTACAAATAGAGTGTTTCCAAACTGCTCTATGAAAAGAAAGGTTAAACTCTGTGAGTTGAAGGCACACATCACAAACTAGTTTCTGCGAATGACTCTGTGTACTTTTAATACGAAGATGTTTCCATGTCTAAGATTGGCGTGAATTCGCTTGAAATCTCCACTTGCAAATTCCACAAAAAGAGTGTTTCAAAAGTGCTCTGAATAAAGGAAGGTTCCACTCTGTGAGTTGAATACACACAACACAAAGGATTTACTGAGAATTCTTCTGTCTAGCAGTAAATGAGAAATCCCGCTTCCAACGAAGGCCTCAAAGGGGTCTAACTAATCACTTGCAGACTTTACAGACAGAGTCTTTCCAAACTGCTCTATGAAGAGAAAGGTGAAACTCTGTGAACTGAACGCACAGATGACAAAGCAGTTTCTGAGAATGATTCTGTGTAGTTTTTACACGAAGATATTTCCATTTCAAAGATTAGCCTCAAATCGCTTGAAATCTCCACTTGCAAATTCCACAGAAAGAGTTTTTCAAAACTGCTCTGTGTAAAGGAAGGTTCAACTCTGTGACTTGAATACACACAACACAAAGAAGTGACTGAGAATTCTTCTGTCTAGCATTATATGAAGAAATCCCGTTTCCAACGAAGGCCTCAAAGAAGTCCAAATAAGCACCTGCAGACTTTACAAACAGAGTGTTTCCAAACTGCTCTATGAAAAGAAAGGTTAAACTCTGTGAGCTGAACGCACACATCACAAAGTAGTTGTTGAGAATGATTTTGTCTAGTTTTAATACGAAGATATATCCTTTTCTATCACTGTCTTCGAAGCGTTTGAAATCTGCACTAGCAAATTCCACAAACAGAGTGTTTCAACTCTGCTCTCTCTCAAGAAAGGTTCAACTCTGTGAGTGGAATACACACAACACAAAGAAGTTACTGAGAATTCTTCTGTCTAGCGTTGTATGAAGAAATCCCGTTTCCAACGAAGGCCTCAAAGAGGTCCAAATATCCACTTGCAGACTTTACAAATAGAGTGTTTCCAAACTGCTCTATGAAAAGAAAGGTTAAACTCTGTGAGTTGAAGGCACACATCACAAACTAGTTTCTACGAATGACTCTGTGTACTTTTAATACGAAGATATTTCCATGTCTAAGATTGGCGTGAATTCGCTTGAAATCTCCACTTGCAAATTCCACAAAGAGTGTTTCAAAACTGCTCTGAATAAAGGAAGGTTCCACTCTGTGAGTTGAATACACACAACACAAAGGATTTACTGAGAATTCTTCTGTCTAGCAGTAAATGAAAAAATCCCGCTTCCAACGAAGTCCTCAAAGGGGTCCAAGTAATCACTTGCAGACTTTACAGACAGAGTCTTTCCAAACTGCTCTATGAAAAGAAAGGTGGAACTCTGTGAGCTGAACGCACACATAACAAAGCAGTTTCTGACAATGATTCTGTGTAGTTTTTACACGAAGATATTTCCATTTCAAAGATTAGCCTCAAATCGCTTGAAATCTCCACTTGCAAATTACACAGAAAGAATTTTTCAAAACTGCTCTGTCTAAAGGAAGGTTCAACTCTGTGACTTGAATACACACAACACAAAGAAGTGACTGAGAATTCTTCTGTCTAGCATTATATGAAGAAATCCCGTTTCCAACGAAGGCCTCAATGAAGTCCAAAAAAGCACTTGCAGGCTTTCCAAACAGAGTGTTTCCAAACTGCTCTATGAAAAGAAAGGTTAAACTCTGTGAGTTGAACGCACACATCACAAAGTAGTTGTTGAGAATGATTCTGTGTAGTTTTTATACGAAGATATTTCCTTTTCTGCCATAGGCCTAGAAGCGCTTGAAATCTGCACTTGCAAATTCCAAAAACAGAGTGTTTCAAATCTGCTCTCTCTAAAGGAAGGTTCAAATCTGTGAGTTGAATACAAACAACACAAAGAAGTTACTGAGAATTCTTCTGTCTAGTGTTGTATGAAGAAATCCCGTTTCCAACGAAGGCCTCAAAGAGGTCCAAATATCCACTTGCAGACTTTACAAACAGAGTGTTTCCAAACTGCTCTATGAAAAGAAAGGTTAAACTCTGTGAGTTAAAGGCACACATCACAAACTAGTTTCTACGAATGACTCTGTGTACTTTTAATATGAAGATATTTCCATGTCTAAGATTGGCGTCAAATCGCTTGAAATCTCCACTTGCAAATTCCACAAAAAGTGTTTTTCAAATCTGCTCTGAATAAAGGAAGGTTCCACTCTGTGAGTTGAATACACACAACACAAAGGATTTACTGAGAATTCTTCTGTCTAGCAGTAAATGAGAAATCCCGCTTCCAACGAAGGCCTCAAAGGGGTCTAACTAATCACTTGCAGACTTTACAGACAGAGTCTTTCCAAACTGCTCTATGAAGAGAAAGGTGAAACTCTGTGAACTGAACGCACAGATGACAAAGCAGTTTCTGAGAATGATTCTGTGTAGTTTTTACACGAAGATATTTCCATTTCAAAGATTAGCCTCAAATCGCTTGAAATCTCCACTTGCAAATTCCACAGAAAGAGTTTTTCAAAACTGCTCTGTGTAAAGGAAGGTTCAACTCTGTGACTTGAATACACACAACACAAAGAAGTGACTGAGAATTCTTCTGTCTAGCATTATAAGAGGAAATCCCGTTTCCAACGAAGGGCTCATAGAGGGACAATTATCCAGCTGCAGACTTACAAAGAGTGTATTTCCAAACTGCTCGATTAAAGAAAGGTTAAACTCTGTGAGTTGAACACACACATCACAAAGTGTTTTCTGAGAATGATTCTGTGTAGTTTTTATACGAAGATATTTCCTTTTCTGCCATAGGCCTAGAAGCGCTTGTAATCTGCACTTGCAAATTCCAAAAACAGAGTGTTTCAAATCTGCTCTCTCCAAAGGAAGGTTCAAATCTGTGAGTTGAATACAAACAACACAAAGAAGTTACTGAGAATTCTTCTGTCTAGCGTTATATGAAGAAATCCCTTTTCCAACGAAGGCCTCAAAGAGGTCCAAATATCCACTTGCAGACTTTACAAATAGAATGTTTCCGAACTGCTCTATGAAAAGAAAGGTTAAACTCTGTGAGTTGAAGGCACACATCACAAACTAGTTTCTACGAATGATTCTGTGTACTTTTAATACGAAGATGTTTCCATGTCTAAGATTGGCGTGAATTCGCTTGAAATCTCCACTTGCAAATTCCACAAAAAGAGTGTTTCAAAACTGCTCTGAATAAAGGAAGGTTCCACTCTGTGAGTTGAATACACACAACACAAAGGATTTACTGAGAATTCTTCTGTCTAGCAGTAAATGAGAAATCCCGCTTCCAACGAAGGCCTCAAAGGGGTCTAACTAATCACTTGCAGACTTTACAGACAGAGTCTTTCCAAACTGCTCTATGAAGAGAAAGGTGAAACTCTGTGAACTGAACGCACAGATGACAAAGCAGTTTCTGAGAATGATTCTGTGTAGTTTTTACACGAAGATATTTCCATTTCAAAGATTAGCCTCAAATCGCTTGAAATCTCCACTTGCAAATTCCACAGAAAGAATTTTTCAAAACTGCTCTGTCTAAAGGAAGGTTCAACTCTGTGACTTGAATACACACAACACAAAGAAGTGACTGAGAATTCTTCTGTCTAGCATTATATGAAGAAATCCCGTTTCCAACGAAGGCCTCAATGAAGTCCAAAGAAGCACTTGCAGGCTTTACAAACAGAGTGTTTCCAAACTGCTCTATGAAAAGAAAGGTTAAACTCTGTGAGTTGAACGCACACATCACAAAGTAGTTGTTGAGAATGATTTCTGTGTAGTTTTTATACGAAGATATTTCCTTTTCTGCCATAGGCCTAGAAGCGCTTGTAATCTGCACTTGCAAATTCCAAAAACAGAGTGTTTCAAATCTGCTCTCTCTAAAGGAAGGTTCAAATCTGTGAGTTGAATACAAACAACACAAAGAAGTTACTGAGAATTCTTCTGTCTAGCGTTATATGAAGAAATCCCGTTTCCAACGAAGGCCTCAAAGAGGTCCAAATATCCACTTGCAGACTTTACAAATAGAGTGTTTCCAAACTGCTCTATGAAAAGAAAGGTTAAACTCTGTGAGTTGAAGGCACACATCACAAACTAGTTTCTGCGAATGACTCTGTGTACTTTTAATATGAAGATATTTCCATGTCTAAGATTGGCGTCAAATCGCTTGAAATCTCCACTTGCAAATTCCACAAAAAGAGTGTTTCAAAACTGCTCTGAATAAAGGAAGGTTCCACTCTGTGAGTTGAATACACACAACACAAAGGATTTACTGAGAATTCTTCTGTCTAGCAGTAAATGAAAAAATCCCGCTTCCAACGAAGTCCTCAAAGGGGTCCAAGTAATCACTTGCAGACTTTACAGACAGAGTCTTTCCAAACTGCTCTATGAAAAGAAAGATGGAACTCTGTGAGCTGAACGCACACATAACAAAGAAGTTTCTGAGAATGATTCTGTGTAGTTTTTACACGAAGATATTTCCATTTCAAAGATTAGCCTCAAATCGCTTGAAATCTCCACTTGCAAATTACACAGAAAGAATTTTTCAAAACTGCTCTGTCTAAAGGAAGGTTCAACTCTGTGAGTTGAATACACACAACACAAAGAAGTGACTGAGAATTCTTCTGTCTAGCATTATATGAGGAAATCCCGTTTCCAACGAAGGGCTCATAGAGGGACAATTATCCACCTGCAGAATTACAAAGAGTGTATTTCCAAACTGCTCGATTAAAGAAAGGTTAAACTCTGTGAGTTGAACACACACATCACAAAGTGTTTTCTGAGAATGATTTTGTCTAGTTTTAATACGAAGATATATCCTTTTCTACCACTGTCTTCGAAGCGTTTGAAATCTGCACTAGCAAATTCCACAAAAAGAGTGTTTCAACTCTGCTCTCTCTCAAGAAAGGTTCAACTCTGTGAGTGGAATACACACAACACAAAGAAGTTACTGAGAATTCTTCTGTCTAGCGTTATATGAAGAAATCCCGTTTCCAACGAAGGCCTCAAAGAGGTCCAAATATCCACTTGCAGACTTTACAAATAGAGTGTTTCCAAACTGCTCTATGAAAAGAAAGGTTAAACTCTGTGAGTTGAAGGCACACATCACAAACTAGTTTCTGCGAATGACTCTGTGTACTTTTAATACAAAGATGTTTCCATGTCTAAGATTGGCGTGAATTCGCTTGAAATCTCCACTTGCAAATTCCACAAAAAGAGTGTTTCAAAACTGCTCTGAATAAAGGAAGGTTCCACTCTGTGAGTTGAATACACACAACACAAAGGATTTACTGAGAATTCTTCTTTCTAGCAGTAAATGAGAAATCCCGCTTCCAACGAAGGCCTCAAAGGGGTCTAACTAATCACTTGCAGACTTTAGAGACAGAGTCTTTCCAAACTGCTCTATGAAGAGAAAGGTGAAACTCTGTGAACTGAACGCACAGATGACAAAGCAGTTTCCTGAGAATGATTCTGTGTAGTTTTTACACGAAGATATTTCCATTTCAAAGATTAGCCTCAAATCGCTTGAAATCTCCACTTGCAAATTCCACAGAAAGAATTTTTCAAAACTGCTCTGTCTAAAGGAAGTTTCAACTCTGTGACTTGAATACACACAACACAAAGAAGTGACTGAGAATTCTTCTGTCTAGCATTATATGAGGAAATCCCGTTTCCAACGAAGGGCTCATAGAGGGACAATTATCCAGCTGCAGACTTACAAAGAGTGTATTTCCAAACTGCTCGATTAAAGAAAGGTTAAACTCTGTGAGTTGAACACACACATCACAAAGTGTTTTCTGAGAATGATTCTGTGTAGTTTTTATACGAAGATATTTCCTTTTCTGCCATAGGCCTAGAATCGCTTGAAATCTGCACTTGCAAATTCCAAAAACAGAGTGTTTCAACTCTGCTCTCTCTAAAGAAAGGTTCAACTCTGTGAGTTGAATACACACAACACAAAGAAGTTACTGAGAATTCTTCTGTCTAGCGTTGTATGAAGAAATCCCTTTTCGAACGAAGGCCTCAAAGAGGTCCAAATATCCACTTGCAGACTTTACAAATAGAGTGTTTCCAAACTACTCTATGAAAAGAAAGGTTAAACTCTGTGAGTTGAAGGCACACATCACAAACTAGTTTCTACGAATGACTCTGTGTACTTTTAATATGAAGATATTTCCATGTCTAAGATTGGCGTCAAATCGCTTGAAATCTCCACTTCCAAATTCCACAAAAAGTGTTTTTCAAAACTGCTCTGAATAAAGGAAGGTTCAACTCTGTGAGTTGAATACACACAACACAAAGGATTTACTGAGAATTCTTCTGTCTAGTAGTAAATGAGAAATCCCGCTTCCAACGAAGGCCTCAATGGGGTCTAACTAATCACTTGCAGACATTACAGACAGAGTCTTTCCAAACTGCTCTATGAAGAGAAAGGTGAAACTCTGTGAACTGAACGCACAGATGACAAAGCAGTTTCTGAGAATGATTCTGTGTAGTTTTTACACGAAGATATTTCCATTTCAAAGATTAGCCTCAAATCGCTTGAAATCTCCACTTGCAAATTCCACAGAAAGAGTTTTTCAAAACTGCTCTGTGTAAAGGAAGGTTCAACTCTGTGACTTGAATACACACAACACAAAGAAGTGACTGAGAATTCTTCTGTCTAGCATTATAAGAGGAAATCCCGTTTCCAACGAAGGGCTCATAGAGGGACAATTATCCAGCTGCAGACTTACAAAGAGTGTATTTCCAAACTGCTCGATTAAAGAAAGGTTAAACTCTGTGAGTTGAACACACACATCACAAAGTGTTTTCTGAGAATGATTCTGTGTAGTTTTTATACGAAGATATTTCCTTTTCTGCCATAGGCCTAGAAGCGCTTGAAATCTGCACTTGCAAATTCCAAAAACAGAGTGTTTCAAATCTGCTCTCTCTAAAGGAAGGTTCAAATCTGTGTGTTGAATACAAACAACACAAAGAAGTTACTGAGAATTCTTCTGTCTAGCGTTATATGAAGAAATCCCGTTTCCAACGAAGGCCTCAAAGAGGTCCAAATATCCACTTGCAGACTTTACAAATAGAGTGTTTCCCAACTGCTCTATGAAAAGAAAGGTTAAACTCTGTGAGTTGAAGGCACACATCACAAACTAGTTTCTACGAATGACTCTGTGTACTTTTAATACGAAGATGTTTCCATGTCTAAGATTGGCGTGAATTCGCTTGAAATCTCCACTTGCAATTTCCACAAAAAGAGTGTTTCAAAACTGCTCTGAATAAAGGAAGGTTCCACTCTGTGAGGTGAATACACACAACACAAAGGATTTACTGAGAATTCTTCTGTCTAGCAGTAAATGAAAAAATCCCGCTTCCAACGAAGTCCTCAAAGGGGTCCAAGTAATCACTTGCAGACTTTACAGACAGAGTCTTTCCAAACTGCTCTATGAAAAGAAAGGTGGAACTCTGTGAGCTGAACGCACACATAACAAAGCAGTTTCTGAGAATGATTCTGTGTAGTTTTTACACGAAGATATTTCCATTTCAAAGATTAGCCTCAAATCGCTTGAAATCTCCACTTGCAAATTCCACAGAAAGAGTTTTTCAAAACTGCTCTGTGTAAAGGAAGGTTCAACTCTGTGACTTGAATACACACAACACAAAGAAGTGACTGAGAATTCTTCTGTCTAGCATTATATGAAGAAATCCCGTTTCCAACGAAGGCCTCAATGAAGTCCAAAAAAGCACTTGCAGGCTTTACAAACAGAGTGTTTCCAAACTGCTCTATGAAAAGAAAGGTTAAACTCTGTGAGTTGAACGCACACATCACAAAGTAGTTGTTGAGAATGATTTTGTCTAGTTTTAATACGAAGATATATCCTTTTCTATCACTGTCTTCGAAGCGTTTGAAATCTGCACTAGCAAATTCCACAGAAAGAGTGTTTCAACTCTGCTCTCTCTCAAGAAAGGTTCAACTCTGTGAGTGGAATACACACAACACAAAGAAGTTACTGAGAATTCTTCTGTCTAGCGTTATATGAAGAAATCCCGTTTCCAACGAAGGCCTCAAAGAGGTCCAAATATCCACTTGCAGACTTTACAAATAGAGTGTTTCCAAACTGCTCTATGAAAAGAAAGCTTAAACTCTGTGAGTTGAAGGCACACATCACAAACTAGTTTCTGCGAATGACTCTGTGTACTTTTAATACGAAGATGTTTCCATGTCTAAGATTGGCGTGAATTCGCTTGAAATCTCCACTTGCAAATTCCACAAAAAGAGTGTTTCAAAACTGCTCTGAATAAAGGAAGGTTCCACTCTGTGAGTTGAATACACACAACACAAAGGATTTACTGAGAATTCTTCTGTCTAGCAGTAAATGAAAAAATCCCGCTTCCAACGAAGTCCTCAAAGGGGTCCAAGTAATCACTTGCAGACTTTACAGACAGAGTCTTTCCAAACTGCTCTATGAAAAGAAAGGTGGAACTCTGTGAGCTGAACGCACACATAACAAAGCAGTTTCTGACAATGATTCTGTGTAGTTTTTACACGAAGATATTTCCATTTCAAAGATTAGCCTCAAATCGCTTGAAATCTCCACTTGCAAATTCCACAGAAAGAGTTTTTCAAAACTGCTCTGTGTAAAGGAAGGTTCAACTCTGTGACTTGAATACACACAACACAAGGAAGTGACTGAGAATTCTTCTGTCTAGCATTATATGAAGAAATCCCGTTTCCAACGAAGGCCTCAATGAAGTCCAAAAAAGCACTTGCAGGCTTTACAAACAGAGTGTTTCCAAACTGCTCTATGAAAAGAAAGGTTAAACTCTGTGAGTTGAACGCACACATCACAAAGTAGTTGTTGAGAATGATTTTGTCTAGTTTTAATACGAAGATATATCCTTTTCTATCACTGTCTTCGAAGCGTTTGAAATCTGCACTAGCAAATTCCACAAACAGAGTGTTTCAACTCTGCTCTCTCTCAAGAAAGGTTCAACTCTGTGAGTGGAATACACACAACACAAAGAAGTTACTGAGAATTCTTCTGTCTAGCGTTATATGAAGAAATCCCGTTTCCAACGAAGGCCTCAAAGAGGTCCAAATATCCACTTGCAGACTTTACAAATAGAGTGTTTCCAAACTGCTCTATGAAAAGAAAGGTTAAACTCCGTGAGTTGAAGGCACACATCACAAACTAGTTTCTGCGAATGACTCTGTGTACTTTTAATACGAAGATGTTTCCATGTCTAAGATTGGCGTGAATTCGCTTGAAATCTCCACTTGCAAATTCCACAAAAAGAGTGTTTCAAAACTGCTCTGAATAAAGGAAGGTTCCACTCTGTGAGTTGAATACACACAACACAAAGGATTTACTGAGAATTCTTCTGTCTAGCAGTAAATGAGAAATCCCGCTTCCAACGAAGGCCTCAAAGGGGTCTAACTAATCACTTGCAGACTTTACAGACAGAGTCTTTCCAAACTGCTCTATGAAGAGAAAGGTGAAACTCTGTGAACTGAACGCACAGATGACAAAGCAGTTTCTGAGAATGATTCTGTGTAGTTTTTACACGAAGATATTTCCATTTCAAAGATTAGCCTCAAATCGCTTGAAATCTCCACTTGCAAATTCCACAGAAAGAGTTTTTCAAAACTGCTCTGTGTAAAGGAAGGTTCAACTCTGTGACTTGAATACACACAACACAAAGAAGTGACTGAGAATTCTTCTGTCTAGCATTACATGAAGAAATCCCGTTTCCAACGAAGGCCTCAAAGAAGTCCAAATAAGCACCTGCAGACTTTACAAACAGAGTGTTTCCAAACTGCTCTATGAAAAGAAAGGTTAAACTCTGTGAGTTGAACGCACACATCACAAAGTAGTTGTTGAGAATGATTCTGTGTAGTTTTTATACGAAGATATTTCCTTTTCTGCCACAGGCCTAGAAGCGCTTGTAATCTGCACTTGCAAATTCCAAAAACAGAGTGTTTCAAATCTGCTCTCTCTAAAGGAAGGTTCAAATCTGTGAGTTGAATACAAACAACACAAAGAAGTTACTGAGAATTCTTCTGTCTAGCGTTATATGAAGAAATCCCGTTTCCAACGAAGGCCTCAAAGAGGTCCAAATATCCACTTGCAGACTTACAAATAGAGTGTTTCCAAACTGCTCTATGAAAAGAAAGGTTAAACTCCGTGAGTTGAAGGCACACATCACAAACTAGTTTCTGCGAATGACTCTGTGTACTTTTAATATGAAGATATTTCCATGTCTAAGATTGGCGTCAAATCGCTTGAAATCTCCACTTGCAAATTCCACAAAAAGAGTGTTTCAAAACTGCTCTGAATAAAGGAAGGTTCCACTCTGTGAGTTGAATAAACACAACACAAAGGATTTACTGAGAATTCTTCTGTCTAGCAGTAAATGAGAAATCCCGCTTCCAACGAAGGCCTCAAAGGGGTCTAACTAATCACTTGCAGACTTTACAGACAGAGTCTTTCCAAACTGCTCTATGAAGAGAAAGGTGAAACTCTGTGAACTGAACGCACAGATGACAAAGCAGTTTCTGAGAATGATTCTGTGTAGTTTTTACACGAAGATATTTCCATTTCAAAGATTAGCCTCAAATCGCTTGAAATCTCCACTTGCAAACTCCACAGAAAGAATTTTTCAAAACTGCTCTGTCTAAAGGAAGGTTCAACTCTGTGACTTGAATACACACAACACAAAGAAGTGACTGAGAATTCTTCTGTCTAGCATTATATGAAGAAATCCCGTTTCCAACGAAGGCCTCAATGAAGTCCAAAAAAGCACTTGCAGGCTTTACAAACAGAGTGTTTCCAAACTGCTCTATGAAAAGAAAGGTTAAACTCTGTGAGTTGAACGCACACATCACAAAGTAGTTGTTGAGAATGATTTTGTCTACTTTTAATACGAAGATATATCCTTTTCTATCACTGTCTTCGAAGCGTTTGAAATCTACACTAGCAAATTCCACAAAAAGAGTGTTTCACCTCTGCTCCCTCTAAAGAAAGGTTCAACTCTGTGAGTTGAATACACACAACACAAAGAAGTTACTGAGAATTCTTCTGTGTAGCGTTATAAGAAGAAATCCCGTTTCCAACGAAGGCGTCAAAGAAGTCCAAATATCCACTTGCAGACTTTACAAATAGAGTGTTTCCAAACTGCTCTATGAAAACAAAGGTTAAACACTGTGAGTTGAAGGCACACATCACAAACTAGTTTCTGCGAATGACTCTGTGTACTTTTAATACGAAGATGTTTCCATGTCTAAGATTGGCGTGAATTCGCTTGAAATCTCCACTTGCAAATTCCACAAAAAGAGTGTTTCAAAAGTGCTCTGAATAAAGGAAGGTTCCACTCTGTGAGTTGAATACACACAACACAAAGGATTTACTGAGAATTCTTCTGTCTAGCAGTAAATGAGAAATCCCGCTTCCAACGAAGGCCTCAAAGGGGTCTAACTAATCACTTGCAGACTTTACAGACAGAGTCTTTCCAAACTGCTCTATGAAGAGAAAGGTGAAACTCTGTGAACTGAGCGCACAGATGACAAAGCAGTTTCTGAGAATGATTCTGTGTAGTTTTTACACGAAGATATTTCCATTTCAAAGATTAGCCTCAAATCGCTTGAAATCTCCACTTGCAAATTCCACAGTAAGAATTTTTCAAAACGGCTCTGTCTAAAGGAAGGTTCAACTCTGTGACTTGAATACACACAACACAAAGAAGTGACTGAGAATTCTTCTGTCCAGCATTATATGAAGAAATCCCGTTTCCAACGAAGGCCTCAATGAAGTCCAAAAAAGCACTTGCAGGCTTTACAAACAGAGTGTTTCCAAACTGCTCTATGAAAAGAAAGGTTAAACTCTGTGAGTTGAAGGCACACATCACAAAGTAGTTGTTGAGAATGATTCTGTGTAGTTTTTATACGAAGATATTTCCTTTTCTGCCATAGGCCTAGAAGCGCTTGTAATCTGCACTTGCAAATTCCGAAAACAGAGTGTTTCAAATCTGCTCTCTCTAAAGGAAGGTTCAAATCTGTGAGTTGAATACAAACAACACAAAGAAGTTACTGAGAATTCTTCTGTCTAGCGTTATATGAAGAAATCCCTTTTCCAACGAAGGCCTCAAAGAGGTCCAAATATCCACTTGCAGACTTTACAAATAGAATGTTTCCGAACTGCTCTATGAAAAGAAAGGTTAAACTCTGTGAGTTGAAGGCACACATCACAAACTAGTTTCTACGAATGATTCTGTGTACTTTTAATATGAAGATATTTCCATGTCTAAGATTGGCGTCAAATCGCTTGAAATCTCCACTTGCAAATTCCACAAAAAGTGTTTTTCAAAACTGCTCTGAATAAAGGAAGGTTCCACTCTGTGAGTTGAATACACACAACACAAAGGATTTACTGAGAATTCTTCTGTCTAGCAGTAAATGAAAAAATCCCGCTTCCAACGAAGTCCTCAAAGGGGTCCAAGTAATCACTTGCAGACTTTACAGACAGAGTCTTTCCAAACTGCTCTATGAAAAGAAAGGTGGAACTCTGTGAGCTGAACGCACACATAACAAAGCAGTTTCTGACAATGATTCTGTGTAGTTTTTACACGAAGATATTTCCATTTCAAAGATTAGCCTCAAATCGCTTGAAATCTCCACTTGCAAATTCCACAGAAAGAGTTTTTCAAAACTGCTCTGTGTAAAGGAAGGTTCAACTCTGTGACTTGAATACACACAACACAAAGAAGTGACTGAGAATTCTTCTGTCTAGCATTATATGAAGAAATCCCGTTTCCAACGAAGGCCTCAATGAAGTCCAAAAAAGCACTTGCAGGCTTTACAAACAGAGTGTTTCCAAACTGCTCTATGAAAAGAAAGGTTAAACTCTGTGAGTTGAACGCACACATCACAAAGTAGTTGTTGAGAATGATTCTGTGTAGTTTTTATACGAAGATATTTCCTTTTCTGCCATAGGCCTAGAAGCGCTTGTAATCTGCACTTGCAAATTCCAAAAACAGAGTGTTTCAAATCTGCTCTCTCTAAAGGAAGGTTCAAATCTGTGAGTTGAATACAAACAACACAAAGAAGTTACTGAGAATTCTTCTGTCTAGCGTTATATGAAGAAATCCCGTTTCCAACGAAGGCCTCAAAGAGGTCCAAATATCCACTTGCAGACTTTACAAATAGAGTGTTTCCCAACTGCTCTATGAAAAGAAAGGTTAAACTCTGTGAGTTGAAGGCACACATCACAAACTAGTTTCTACGAATGACTCTGTGTACTTTTAATACGAAGATGTTTCCATGTCTAAGATTGGCGTGAATTCGCTTGAAATCTCCACTTGCAAATTCCACAAAAAGAGTGTTTCAAAACTGCTCTGAATAAAGGAAGGTTCCACTCTGTGAGTTGAATACACACAACACAAAGGATTTACTGAGAATTCTTCTGTCTAGCAGTAAATGAGAAATCCCGCTTCCAACGAAGGCCTCAAAGGGGTCTAACTAATCACTTGCAGACTTTACAGACAGAGTCTTTCCAAACTGCTCTATGAAGAGAAAGGTGAAACTCTGTGAACTGAACGCACAGATGACAAAGCAGTTTCTGAGAATGATTCTGTGTAGTTTTTACACGAAGCTATTTCCATTTCAAAGATTAGCCTCAAATCGCTTGAAATCTCCACTTGCAAATTCCACAGAAAGAGTTTTTCAAAACTGCTCTGTGTAAAGGAAGGTTCAACTCTGTGACTTGAATACACACAACACAAAGAAGTGACTGAGAATTCTTCTGTCTAGCATTATATGAGGAAATCCCGTTTCCAACGAAGGGCTCAAAGAGGGCCAAATATCCACCTGCAGACTTACAAAGAGTGTATTTCCAAACTGCTCGATTAAAGAAAGGTTAAACTCTGTGAGTTGAACACACACATCACAAAGAGTTTTCTGAGAATGATTCTGTGTAGTTTTTATACGAAGATATTTCCTTTTCTGCCATAGGCCTAGAAGCGCTTGCAATCTGCACTTGCAAATTCCAAAAACAGAGTGTTTCAAATCTGCTCTCTCCAAAGGAAGGTTCAAATCTGTGAGTTGAATACAAACAACACAAAGAAGTTACTGAGAATTCTTCTGTCTAGCGTTATATGAAGAAATCCCGTTTCCAACGAAGGCCTCAAAGAGGTCCAAATATCCACTTGCAGACTTTACAAATAGAGTGTTTCCAAACTGCTCTATGAAAAGAAAGGTTAAACTCCGTGAGTTGAAGGCACACATCACAAACTAGTTTCTGCGAATGACTCTGTGTACTTTTAATACGAAGATGTTTCCATGTCTAAGATTGGCGTGAATTCGCTTGAAATCTCCACTTGCAAATTCCACAAAAAGAGTGTTTCAAAACTGCTCTGAATAAAGGAAGGTTCCACTCTGTGAGTTGAATACACACAACACAAAGGATTTACTGAGAATTCTTCTGTCTAGCAGTAAATGAAAAAATCCCGCTTCCAACGAAGTCCTCAAAGGGGTCCAAGTAATCACTTGCAGACTTTACAGACAGAGTCTTTCCAAACTGCTCTATGAAGAGAAAGGTGGAACTCTGTGAGCTGAACGCACACATAACAAAGCAGTTTCTGAGAATGATTCTGTGTAGTTTTTACACGAAGATATTTCCATTTCAAAGATTAGCCTCAAATCGCTTGAAATCTCCACTTGCAAATTCCACAGAAAGAGCTTTTCAAAACTGCTCTGTGTAAAGGAAGGTTCAACTCTGTGACTTGAATACACACAACACAAAGAAGTGACTGAGAATTCTTCTGTCTAGCATTATATGAAGAAATCCCGTTTCCAACGATGGCCTCAATGAAGTCCAAAAAAGCACTTGCAGGCTTTACAAACAGAGTGTTTCCAAACTGCTCTATGAAAAGAAAGGTTAAACTCTGTGAGTTGAACGCACACATCATAAAGTAGTTGTTGAGAATGATTTTGTCTAGTTTTAATACGAAGATATATCCTTTTCTATCACTGTCTTCGAAGCGTTTGAAATCTGCACTAGCAAATTCCACAAACAGAGTGTTTCAACTCTGCTCTCTCTCAAGAAAGGTTCAACTCTGTGAGTGGAATACACACAACACAAAGAAGTTACTGAGAATTCTTCTGTCTAGCGTTATATGAAGAAATCCCGTTTCCAACGAAGGCCTCAAAGAGGTCCAAATATCCACTTGCAGACTTTACAAATAGAGTGTTTCCAAACTGCTCTATGAAAAGAAAGGTTAAACTCCGTGAGTTGAAGGCACACATCACAAACTAGTTTCTGCGAATGACTCTGTGTACTTTTAATACGAAGATGTTTCCATGTCTAAGATTGGCGTGAATTCGCTTGAAATCTCCACTTGTAAATTCCACAAAAAGAGTGTTTCAAAAGTGCTCTGAATAAAGGAAGGTTCCACTCTGTGAGTTGAATACACACAACACAAAGGATTTACTGAGAATTCTTCTGTCTAGCAGTAAATGAGAAATCCCGCTTCCAACGAAGGCCTCAAAGGGGTCTAACTAATCACTTGCAGACTTTACAGACAGAGTCTTTCCAAACTGCTCTATGAAGAGAAAGGTGAAACTCTGTGAACTGAACGCACAGATGACAAAGCAGTTTCTGAGAATGATTCTGTGTAGTTTTTACACGAAGATATTTCCATTTCAAAGATTAGCCTCAAATCGCTTGAAATCTCCACTTGCAAATTCCACAGAAAGAGTTTTTCAAAACTGCTCTGTGTAAAGGAAGGTTCAACTCTGTGACTTGAATACACACAACACAAAGAAGTGACTGAGAATTCTTCTGTCTAGCATTATATGAAGAAATCCCGTTTCCAACGAAGGCCTCAAAGAAGTCCAAATAAGCACCTGCAGACTTTACAAACAGAGTGTTTCCAAACTGCTCTATGAAAAGAAAGGTTAAACTCTGTGAGTTGAACGCACACATCACAAAGTAGTTGTTGAGAATGATTCTGTGTAGTTTTTATACGAAGATATTTCCTTTTCTGCCATAGGCCTAGAAGCGCTTGTAATCTGCACTTGCAAATTCCAAAAACAGAGTGTTTCAAATCTGCTCTCTCTAAAGGAAGGTTCAAATCTGTGAGTTGAATACAAACAACACAAAGAAGTTACTGAGAATTCTTCTGTCTAGCATTATAAGAGGAAATCCCGTTTCCAACGAAGGGCTCATAGAGGGACAATTATCCAGCTGCAGACTTACAAAGAGTGTATTTCCAAACTGCTCGATTAAAAAAGGTTAAACTCTGTGAGTTGAACACACACATCACAAAGTGTTTTCTGAGAATGATTTTGTCTAGTTTTAATACGAAGATATATCCTTTTCTATCACTGTCTTCGAAGCGTTTGAAATCTGCACTAGCAAATTCCCCAAACAGAGTGTTTCAACTCTGCTCTCTCTCAAGAAAGGTTCAACTCTGTGAGTGGAATACACACAACACAAAGAAGTTACAGAGAATTCTTCTGTCTAGCGTTATATGAAGAAATCCCGTTTCCAACGAAGGCCTCAAAGAGGTCCAAATATCCACTTGCAGACTTTACAAATAGAGTGTTTCCAAACTGCTCTATGAAAAGAAAGGTTAAACTCCGTGAGTTGAAGGCACACATCACAAACTAGTTTCTGCGAATGACTCTGTGTACTTTTAATATGAAGATATTTCCATGTCTAAGATTGGCGTCAAATCGCTTGAAATCTCCACTTGCAAATTCCACAAAAAGAGTGTTTCAAAACTGCTCTGAATAAAGGAAGGTTCCACTCTGTGAGTTGAATAAACGCAACACAAATGATTTACTGAGAATTCTTCTGTCTAGCAGTAAATGAGAAATCCCGCTTCCAACGAAGGCCTCAAAGGGGTCTAACTAATCACTTGCAGACTTTACAGACAGAGTCTTTCCAAACTGCTCTATGAAGAGAAAGGTGAAACTCTGTGAACTGAACGCACAGATGACAAAGCAGTTTCTGAGAATGATTCTGTATAGTTTTTACACGAAGATATTTCCATTTCAAAGATTAGCCTCAATTCGCTTGAAATCTCCACTTGCAAATTCCACAGAAAGAATTTTTCAAAACTACTCTGTCTAAAGGAAGGTTCAACTCTGTGACTTGAATACACACAACACAAAGAAGTGACTGAGAATTCTTCTGTCTAGCATTATATGAAGAAATCCCGTTTCCAACGAAGGCCTCAATGAAGTCCAAAAAAGCACTTGCAGGCTTTACAAACAGAGTGTTTCCAAACTGCTCTATGAAAAGAAAGGTTAAACTCTGGGAGTTGAACGCACACATCACAAAGTAGTTGTTGAGAATGATTCTGTGTAGTTTTTATACGAAGATATTTCCTTTTCTGCCATAGGCCTAGAAGCGCTTGCAATCTGCACTTGCAAATTCCAAAAACAGAGTGTTTCAAATCTGCTCTCTCCAAAGGAAGGTTCAAATCTGTGAGTTGAATACAAACAACACAAAGAAGTTACTGAGAATTCTTCTGTCTAGCGTTATATGAAGAAATCCCGTTTCCAACGAAGGCCTCAAAGAGGTCCAAATATCCACTTGCAGACTTTACAAATAGAGTGTTTCCAAACTGCTCTATGAAAAGAAAGGTTAAACTCCGTGCGTTGAAGGCACACATCACAAACTAGTTTCTGCGAATGACTCTGTGTACTTTTAATACGAAGATGTTTCCATGTCTAAGATTGGCCTGAATTCGCTTGAAATCTCCACTTGCAAATTCCACAAAAAGAGTGTTTCAAAAGTGCTCTGAATAAAGGAAGGTTCCACTCTGTGAGTTGAATACACACAACACAAAGGATTTACTGAGAATTCTTCTGTCTAGCAGTAAATGAGAAATCCCGCTTCCAACGAAGGCCTCAAAGGGGTCTAACTAATCACTTGCAGACTTTACAGACAGAGTCTTTCCAAACTGCTCTATGAAGAGAAAGGTGAAACTCTGTGAACTGAACGCACAGATGACAAAGCAGTTTCTGAGAATGATTCTGTGTAGTTTTTACACGAAGATATTTCCATTTCAAAGATTAGCCTCAAATCGCTTGAAATCTCCACTTGCAAACTCCACAGAAAGAATTTTTCAAAACTGCTCTGTCTAAAGGAAGGTTCAACTCTGTGACTTGAATACACACAACACAAAGAAGTGACTGAGAATTCTTCTGTCTAGCATTACATGAAGAAATCCCGTTTCCAACGAAGGCCTCAATGAAGTCCAAAAAAGCACTTGCAGGCTTTACAAACAGAGTGTTTCCAAACTGCTCTATGAAAAGAAAGGTTAAACTCTGTGAGTTGAACGCACACATCACAAAGTCGTTGTTGAGAATGATTCTGTGTAGTTTTTATACGAAGATATTTCCTTTTCTGCCATAGGCCTAGAAGCGCTTGCAATCTGCACTTGCAAATTCCAAAAACAGAGTGTTTCAAATCTGCTCTCTCTAAAGGAAGTTTCAAATCTGTGAGTTGAATACAAACAACACAAAGAAGTTACTGAGAATACTTCTGTCTAGCATTATATGAGGAAATCCCGTTTCCAACGAAGGGCTCATAGAGGGACAATTATCCACCTGCAGACTTACAAAGAGTGCATTTCCAAACTGCTCGATTAAAGAAAGGTTAAACTCTGTGAGTTGAACACACACATCACAAAGTGTTTTCTGAGAATGATTCTGTGTACTTTCAATACGAAGATGTTTCCATGTCTAAGATTGGCGTGAATTCGCTTGAAATCTCCACTTGCAATTTCCACAAAAAGAGTGTTTCAAAAGTGCTCTGAATAAAGGAAGGTTCCACTCTGTGAGTTGAATACACACAACACAAAGGATTTACTGAGAATTCTTCTGTCTAGCAGTAAATGAAAAAATACCGCTTCCAACGAAGTCCTCAAAGGGGTCCAAGTAATCACTTGCAGACTTTACAGACAGAGTCTTTCCAAACTGCTCTATGAAAAGAAAGGTGGAACTCTGCGAGCTGAACGCACACATAACAAAGCAGTTTCTGAGAATGATTCTGTGTAGTTTTTACACGAAGATATTTCCATTTCAAAGATTAGCCTCAAATCGCTTGAAATCTCCACTTGCAAACTCCACAGAAAGAATTTTTCAAAACTGCTCTGTCTAAAGGAAGGTTCAACCCTGTGACTTGAATACACACAACACAAAGAAGTGACTGAGAATTCCTCTGTCTAGCATTATATGAAGAAATCCCGTTTCCAACGAAGGCCTCAATGAAGTCCAAAAAAGCACTTGCAGGCTTTACAAACAGAGTGTTTCCAAACTGCTCTATGAAAAGAAAGGTTAAACTCTGTGAGTTGAACGCACACATCACAAAGTAGTTGTTGAGAATGATTCTGTGTAGTTTTTATACGAAGATATTTCCTTTTCTGCCATAGGCCTAGAAGCGCTTGTAATCTGCACTTGCAAATTCCAAAAACAGAGTGTTTCAAATCTGCTCTCTCTAAAGGAAGGTTCAAATCTGTGAGTTGAATACAAACAACACAAAGAAGTTACTGAGAATTCTTCTGTCTAGCATTATATGAAGAAATCCCGTTTCCAACGAAGGCCTCAGAGAGGTCCAAATATCCACTTGCAGACTTTACAAATAGAGTGTTTCCAAACTGCTCTATGAAAAGAAAGGTTAAACTCTGTGAGTTGAAGGCACACATCACAAACAAGATTCTGCGAATGACTCTGTGTACTTTTAATATGAAGATATTTCCATGTCTAAGATTGGCGTCAAATCGCTTGAAATCTCCACTTCCAAATTCCACAAAAAGTGTTTTTCAAAACTGCTCTGAATAAAGGAAGGTTCAACTCTGTGAGTTGCATGCACACAACACAAAGGATTTACTGAGAATTCTTCTGTCTAGCAGTAAATGAGAAATCCCGCTTCCAACGAAGGCCTCAATGGGGTCTAACTAATCACTTGCAGACTTTACAGACAGAGTCTTTCCAAACTGCTCTATGAAGAGAAAGGTGAAACTCTGTGAACTGAACGCACAGATGACAAAGCAGTTTCTGAGAATGAATCTGTGTAGTTTTGACACGAAGATATTTCCATTTCAAAGATTAGCCTCAAATCGCTTGAAATCTCCACTTGCAAATTCCGCAGAAAGAATTTTCCAAAACTGCTCTGTCTAAAAGAAGGTTCAACTCTGTGACTTGAATACACACAACACAAAGAAGTGACTGAGAATTCTTCTGTCTAGCATTATATGAAGAAATCCCGTTTCCAATGAAGGCCTCCAAGAGGTCCAAATATCCACTTGCAGGCTTTACAAACAGAGTGTTTCCAAACTGCTCTATGAAAAGAAAGGTTAAACTCTGTGAGTTCAACACACACATCACAAAGTAGTTTCTGAGAATGATTCTGTGTAGTTTTTATACGAAGTATATTTCCTTTTCTGCCATAGGCCTAGAAGCGCTTGAAATCTGCACTTGCAAATTCCAAAAACAGAGTGTTTCAAATCTGCTCTCTCTAAAGGAAGGTTCAAATCTGTGTGTTGAATACAAACAACACAAAGAAGTTACTGAGAATTCTTCTGTCTAGCGTTATATGAAGAAATCCCGTTTCCAACGAAGGCCTCAAAGAGGTCCAAATATCCACTTGCAGACTTTACAAATAGAGTGTTTCCAAACTGCTCTATGAAAAGAAAGGTTAAACTCTGTGAGTTGAAGGCACACATCACAAACTAGTTTCTGCGAATGACTCTGTGTACTTTTAATATGAAGATATTTCCATGTCTAAGATTGGCGTCAAATCGCTTGAAATCTCCACTTGCAAATTCCACAAAAAGAGTGTTTCAAAACTGCTCTGAATAAAGGAAGGTTCCACTCTGTGAGTTGAATAAACGCAACACAAATGATTTACTGAGAATTCTTCTGTCTAGCAGTAAATGAAAAAATCCCGCTTCCAACGAAGTCCTCAAAGGGGTCCAAGTAATCACTTGCAGACTTTACAGACAGAGTCTTTCCAAACTGCTCTATGAAAAGAAAGGTGGAACTCTGTGAGCTGAACGCACACATAACAAAGCAGTTTCTGAGAATGATTCTGTGTAGTTTTTACACGAAGATATTTCCATTTCAAAGATTAGCCTCAAATCGCTTGAAATCTCCACTTGCAAATTACACAGAAAGAATTTTTCAAAACTGCTCTGTCTAAAGGAAGGTTCAACTCTGTGACTTGAATACACACAACACAAAGAAGTGACTGAGAATTCTTCTGTCTAGCATTATATGAAGAAATCCCGTTTCCAACGAAGGCCTCAAAGAAGTCCAAATAAGCACCTGCAGACTTTACAAACAGAGTGTTTCCAAACTGCTCTATGAAAAGAAAGGTTAAACTCTGTGAGTTGAACGCACACATCACAAAGTAGTTGTTGAGAATGATTTTGTCTAGTTTTAATACGAAGATATATCCTTTTCTATCACTGTCTTCGAAGCGTTTGAAATCGGCAATAGCAAATTCCACAAACAGAGTGTTTCAACTCTGCTCTCTCTCAAGAAAGGTTCAACTCTGTGAGTGGAATACACACAACACAAAGAAGTTACTGAGAATTCTTCTGTCTAGCGTTATATGAAGAAATCCCGTTTCCAACGAAGGCCGCAAAGACGTCCAAATATCCACTTGCAGACTTTACAAATAGAGTGTTTCCAAACTGCTCTATGAAAAGAAAGGTTAAACTCTGTGAGTTGAAGGCACACATCACAAACTAGTTTCTGCGAATGACTCTGTGTACTTTTAATACGAAGATGTTTCCATGTCTAAGATTGGCGTGAATTCGCTTGAAATCTCCACTTGCAAATTCCACAAAAAGAGTGTTTCAAAACTGCTCTGAATAAAGGAAGGTTCCACTCTGTGAGTTGAATACACACAACACGAAGGATTTACTGAGAATTCTTCTGTCTAGCAGTAAATGAAAAAATCCCGCTTCCAACGAAGTCCTCAAAGGGGTCCAAGTAATCACTTGCAGACTTTACAGACAGAGTCTTTCCAAACTGCTCTATGAAAAGAAAGGTGGAACTCTGTGAGCTGAACGCACACATAACAAAGCAGTTTCTGAGAATGATTCTGTGTAGTTTTTACACGAAGATATTTCCATTTCAAAGATTAGCCTCAAATCGCTTGAAATCTCCACTTGCAAACTCCACAGAAAGAATTTTTCAAAACTGCTCTGTCTAAAGGAAGGTTCAACTCTGTGACTTGAATACACACAACACAAAGAAGTGACTGAGAATTCTTCTGTCTAGCATTATATGAAGAAATCCCGTTTCCAACGAAGGCCTCAAAGAAGTCCAAATAAGCACCTGCAGACTTTACAAACAGAGTGTTTCCAAACTGCTCTATGAAAACAAAGGTTAAACTCTGTGAGCTGAACGCACACATCACAAAGTAGTTGTTGAGAATGATTCTGTGTAGTTTTTATACGAAGATATTTCCTTTTCTGCCATAGGCCTAGTAAGCGCTTGAAATCTGCACTTGCAAATTCCAAAAACAGAGTGTTTCAAATCTGCTCTCTCTAAAGGAAGGTTCAAATCTGTGAGTTGAATACAAACAACACAAAGAAGTTACTGAGAATTCTTCTGTCTAGCACTATATGTGGAAATCCCGTTTCCAACAAAGGGCTCAAAGAGGGCCAATTATCCACTTGCAGACTTTACAAAGAGTGTATTTCCAAACTGCTCGATTAAAGAAAGGTTAAACTCTGTGAGTTGAACACACACATCACAAAGTGTTTTCTGAGAATGATTCTGTGTAGTTTTTATACGAAGATATTTTCTTTTCTGCCATAGGCCTAGAATCGCTTGAAATCTGCACTTGCAAATTCCAAAAACAGAGTGTTTCAACTCTGTTCTCTCTAAAGAAAGGTTCAACTCTGTGAGTTGAATACACACAACACAAAGAAGTTACTGAGAATTCTTCTGTCTAGCGTTGTATGAAGAAATCCCGTTTCCAACGAAGGCCTCAATGAAGTCCAAAAAAGCACTTGCAGGCTTTCCAAACAGAGTGTTTCCAAACTGCTCTATGAAAAGAAAGGTTAACCTCTGTGAGTTGAACGCACACATCACAAAGTAGTTGTTGAGAATGATTCTGTGTAGTTTTTATACGAAGATATTTCCTTTTCTGCCATAGGCCTAGAAGCGCTTGAAATCTGCACTTGCTAATTCCAAAAACAGAGTGTTTCAAATCTGCTCTCTCTAAAGGAAGGTTCAAATCTGTGTGTTGAATACAAACAACACAAAGAAGTTACTGAGAATTCTTCTGTCTAGCATTATATGAGGAAATCCCGTTTCCAACGAAGGGCTCAAAGAGGGCCAAATATCCACCTGCAGACTTACAAAGAGTGTATTTCCAAACTGCTCGATTAAAGAAAGGTTAAACTCTGTGAGTTGAACACACACATCACAAAGAGTTTTCTGAGAATGATTTTGTGTACTTTTAATACGAAGATATATCCTTTTCTATCACAGTCTGCGAAGCGTTTGAAATCTACACTAGCAAATTCCACAAAAAGAGTGTTTCACCTCTGCTCCCTCTAAAGAAAGGTTCAACTCTATGAGTTGAATACACACAACACAAAGAAGTTACTGAGAATTCTTCTGTCTAGCGTTGTATGAAGAAATCCCGTTTCCAATGAAGGCCTCAAAGAGGTCCAAATATCCACTTGCAGACTTTACAAATAGAGTGTTTCCAAACTGCTCTATGAAAAGAAAGGTTAAACTCTGTGAGTTGAAGGCATACATCACAAACTAGTTTCTACGAATGACTCTGTGTACTTTTAATATGAAGATATTTCCATGTCTAAGATTGGCGTCAAATCGCTTGAAATCTCCACTTGCAAATTCCACAAAAAGTGTTTTTCAAAACTGCTCTGAATAAAGGAAGGTTCCACTCTGTGAGTTGAATACACACAACACAAAGGATTGACTGAGAATTCTTCTGTCTAGCAGTAAATGAAAAAATCCCGCTTCCAACGAAGTCCTCAAAGGGGTCCAAGTAATCACTTGCAGACTTTACAGACAGAGTCTTTCCAAACTGCTCTATGAAAAGAAAGGTGGAACTCTGTGAGCTGAACGCACACATAACAAAGCAGTTTCTGAGAATCATTCTGTGTAGTTTTTACACGAAGATATTTCCATTTCAAAGATTAGCCTCAAATCGCTTGAAATCTCCACTTGCAAACTCCACAGAAAGAATTTTTCAAAACTGCTCTGTCTAAAGGAAGGTTCAACTCTGTGACTTGAATACACACAACACAAAGAAGTGACTGAGAATTCTTCTGTCTAGCATTATATGAAGAAATCCCGTTTCCAACGAAGGCCTCAAAGAAGTCCAAATAAGCACCTGCAGACTTTACAAACAGAGTGTTTCCAAACTGCTCTATGAAAAGAAAGGTTAAACTCTGTGAGCTGAACTGCACACATCACAAAGTAGTTGTTGAGAATGATTTTGGCTAGTTTTAATACGAAGATATATCCTTTTCTATCACTGTCTTCGAAGCGTTTGAAATCTGCACTAGCAAATTCCACAAAAAGAGTGTTTCAACTCTGCTCTCTCTAAAGAAAGGTTCAACTCTGTGAGTTGAATACACACAACACAAAGAAGTTACTGAGAATTCTTCTGTCTAGTGTTATATGAAGAAATCCCTTTTCCAACGAAGGCCTCAAAGAGGTCCAAATATCCACTTGCAGACTTTACAAATAGAATGTTTCCGAACTGCTCTATGAAAAGAAAGGTTAAACTCTGTGAGTTGAAGGCACACATCACAAACTAGTTTCTACGAATGATTCTGTGTACTTTTAATATGAAGATATTTCCATGTCTAAGATTGGCGTCAAATCGCTTGAAATCTCCACTTGCAAATTCCACAAAAAGAGTGTTTCAAAACTGCTCTGAATAAAGGAAGGTTCCACTCTGTGAGTTGAATACACACAACACAAAGGATTTACTGAGAATTCTTCTGTCTAGCAGTAAATGAAAAAATCCCGCTTCCAACGAAGTCCTCAAAGGGGTCCAAGTAATCACTTGCAGACTTTACAGACAGAGTCTTTCCAAACTGCTCTATGAAAAGAAAGGTGGAACTCTGTGAGCTGAACGCACACATAACAAAGCAGTTTCTGACAATGATTCTGTGTAGTTTTTACACGAAGCTATTTCCATTTCAAAGATTAGCCTCAAATCGCTTGAAATCTCCACTTGCAAATTCCACAGAAAGAGTTTTTCAAAACTGCTCTGTGTAAAGGAAGGTTCAACTCTGTGACTTGAATACACACAACACAAGGAAGTGACTGAGAATTCTTCTGTCTAGCATTATATGAGGAAATCCCGTTTCCAACGAAGGGCTCAAAGAGGGCCAAATATCCACCTGCAGACTTACAAAGAGTGTATTTCCAAACTGCTCGATTAAAGAAAGGTTAAACTGCTGTGAGTTGAACACACACATCACAAAGAGTTTTCTGAGAATGATTCTGTGTAGTTTTTATACGAAGATATTTCCTTTTCTGCCATAGGCCTAGAAGCGCTTGTAATCTGCACTTGCAAATTCCAAAACCAGAGTGTTTCAAATCTGCTCTCTCTAAAGGAAGGTTCAAATCTGTGAGTTGAATAAAAACAACACAAAGAAGTTACTGAGAATTCTTCTGTCTAGCGTTATATGAAGAAATCCCGTTTCCAACGAAGGCCTCAAAGAGGTCCAAATATCCACTTGCAGACTTTACAAATAGAGTGTTTCCAAACTGCTCTATGAAAAGAAAGGTTAAACTCTGTGAGTTGAAGGCACACATCACAAACTAGTTTCTGCGAATGACTCTGTGTACTTTTAATATGAAGATATTTCCATGTCTAAGATTGGCGTCAAATCGCTTGAAATCTCCACTTGCAAATTCCACAAAAAGAGTGTTTCAAAACTGCTCTGAATAAAGGAAGGTTCCACTCTGTGAGTTGAATACACACAACACAAAGGATTTACTGAGAATTCTTCTGTCTAGCAGTAAATGAAAAAATCCCGCTTCCAACGAAGTCCTCAAAGGGGTCCAAGTAATCACTTGCAGACTTTACAGACAGAGTCTTTCCAAACTGCTCTATGAAAAGAAAGGTGGAACTCTGTGAGCTGAACGCACACATAACAAAGCAGTTTCTGACAATGATTCTGTGTAGTTTTTACACGAAGCTATTTCCATTTCAAAGATTAGCCTCAAATCGCTTGAAATCTCCACTTGCAAATTCCACAGAAAGAGTTTTTCAAAACTGCTCTGTGTAAAGGAAGGTTCAACTCTGTGACTTGAATACACACAACACAAAGAAGTGACTGAGAATTCTTCTGTCTAGCATTATATGAGGAAATCCCGTTTCCAACGAAGGGCTCATAGAGGGACAATTATCCACCTGCAGACTTACAAAGAGTGTATTTCCAAACTGCTCGATTACAGAAAGGTTAAACTCTGTGAGTTGAACACACACATCACAAAGTGTTTTCTGAGAATGATTTTGTCTAGTTTTAATACGAAGATATATCCTTTTCTATCACTGTCTTCGAAGCGTTTGAAATCTGCACTATCAAATTCCACAAACAGAGTGTTTCAACTCTGCTCTCTCTCAAGAAAGGTTCAACTCTGTGAGTTGAATACACACAACACAAAGAAGTTACAGAGAATTCTTCTGTCTAGCGTTATATGAAGAAATCCCGTTTCCAACGAAGGCCTCAAAGTGGTCCAAATATCCACTTGCAGACTTTACAAATAGAGTGTTTCCAAACTGCTCTATGAAAAGAAAGGTTAAACTCTGTGAGTTGAAGGCACACATCACAATCTAGTTTCTACAAATGACTCTGTGTACTTTTAATACGAAGATGTTTCCATGTCTAAGATTGGCGTGAATTCGCTTGAAATCTCCACTTGCAAATTCCACAAAAAGAGTGTTTCAAAACTGCTCTGAATAAAGGAAGGTTCCACTCTGTGAGTTGAATACACACAACACAAAGGATTTACTGAGAATTCTTCTGTCTAGCAGTAAATGAAAAAATCCCGCTTCCAACGAAGTCCTCAAAGGGGTCCAAGTAATCACTTGCAGACTTTACAGACAGAGTCTTTCCAAACTGCTCTATGAAAAGAAAGGTGGAACTCTGTGAGCTGAACGCACACATAACAAAGCAGTTTCTGAGAATGATTCTGTGTAGTTTTTACACGAAGATATTTCCATTTCAAAGATTAGCCTCAAATCGCTTGAAATCTCCACTTGCAAACTCCACAGAAAGAATTTTTCAAAACTGCTCTGTCTAAAGGAAGGTTCAACTCTGTGACTTGAATACACACAACACAAAGAAGTGACTGAGAATTCTTCTGTCTAGCATTACATGAAGAAATCCCGTTTCCAACGAAGGCCTCAAAGAAGTCCAAATAAGCACCTGCAGACTTTACAAACAGAGTGTTTCCAAACTGCTCTATGAAAAGAAAGGTTAAACTCTGTGAGTTGAACGCACACATCACAAAGTAGTTGTTGAGAATGATTTTGTCTACTTTTAATACGAAGATATATCCTTTTCTATCACTGTCTTCGAAGCGTTTGAAATCTACACTAGCAAATTCCACAAAAAGAGTGTTTCACCTCTGCTCCCTCTAAAGAAAGGTTCAACTCTGTGAGTTGAATACACACAACACAAAGAAGTTACTGAGAATTCTTCTGTCTAGCGTTATATGAAGAAATCCCGTTTCCAACGAAGGCCTCAAAGAGGTCCAAATATCCACTTGCAGACTTTACAAATAGAGTGTTTCCAAACTGCTCTATGAAAAGAAAGGTTAAACTCCGTGAGTTGAAGGCACACATCACAAACTAGTTTCTGCGAATGACTCTGTGTACTTTTAATATGAAGATATTTCCATGTCTAAGATTGGCGTCAAATCGCTTGAAATCTCCACTTGCAAATTCCACAAAAAGAGTGTTTCAAAACTGCTCTGAATAAAGGAAAGTTCCACTCTGTGAGTTGAATAAACACAACACAAAGGATTTACTGAGAATTCTTCTGTCTAGCAGTAAATGAGAAATCCCGCTTCCAACGAAGGCCTCAAAGGGGTCTAACTAATCACTTGCAGACTTTACAGACAGAGTCTTTCCAAACTGCTCTATGAAGAGAAAGGTGAAACTCTGTGAACTGAACGCACAGATGACAAAGCAGTTTCAGAGAATGATTCTGTGTAGTTTTTACACGAAGATATTTCCATTTCAAAGATTAGCCTCAAATCGCTTGAAATCTCCACTTGCAAACTCCACAGAAAGAATTTTTCAAAACTGCTCTGTCTAAAGGAAGGTTCAACTCTGTGACTTGAATACACACAACACAAAGAAGTGACTGAGAATTCTTCTGTCTAGGATTATATGAAGAAATCCCGTTTCCAACGAAGGCCTCAATGAAGTCCAAAAAAGCAATTGCAGGCTTTACAAACAGAGTGTTTCCAAACTGCTCTATGAAAAGAAAGGTTAAACTTTGTGAGTTGAACGCACACATCACAAAGTAGTTGTTGAGAATGATTCTGTGTAGTTTTTATACGAAGATATTTCCTTTTCTGCTATAGGCCTAGAAGCGCTTGTAATCTGCACTTGCAAATTCCAAAAACAGAGTGTTTCAAATCTGCTCTCTCTAAAGGAAGGTTCAAATCTGTGAGTTGAATACAAACAACACAAAGAAGTTACTGAGAATTCTTCTGTCTAGCGTTATATGAAGAAATCCCGTTTCCAACGAAGGCCTCAAAGAGGTCCAAATATCCACTTGCAGACTTTCCAAATAGAGTGTTTCCAAACTGCTCTATGAAAAGAAAGGTTAAACTCTGTGAGTTGAAGGCACACATCACAAACTAGTTTCTGCGAATGACTCTGTGTACTTTTAATATGAAGATATTTCCATGTCTAAGATTGGCGTCAAATCGCTTGAAATCTCCACTTGCAAATTCCACAAAAAGAGTGTTTCAAAACTGCTCTGAATAAAGGAAGGTTCCACTCTGTGAGTTGAATACACACAACACAAAGGATTTACTGAGAATTCTTCTGTCTAGCAGTAAATGAGAAATCCCGCTTCCAACGAAGGCCTCAAAGGGGTCTAACTAATCACTTGCAGACTTTACAGACAGAGTCTTTCCAAACTGCTCTATGAAGAGAAAGGTGAAACTCTGTGAACTGAACGCACAGATGACAAAGCAGTTTCTGAGAATGATTCTGTGTAGTTTTTACACGAAGATATTTCCATTTCAAAGATTAGCCTCAAATCGCTTGAAATCTCCACTTGCAAACTCCACAGAAAGAATTTTTCAAAACTGCTCTGTCTAAAGGAAGGTTCAACTCTGTGACTTGAATACACACAACACAAAGAAGTGACTGAGAATTCTTCTGTCTAGCATTATAAGAGGAAATCCCGTTTCCAACGAAGGGCTCATAGAGGGACAATTATCCAGCTGCAGACTTACAAAGAGTGTATTTCCAAACTGCTCGATTAAAGAAAGGTTAAACTCTGTGAGTTGAACACACACATCACAAAGTGTTTTCTGAGAATGATTTTGTCTAGTTTTAATACGAAGATATATCCTTTTCTATCACTGTCTTCGAAGCGTTTGAAATCTGCACTAGCAAATTCCACAAACAGAGTGTTTCAACTCTGCTCTCTCTCAAGAAAGGTTCAACTCTGTGAGTTGAATACACACAACACAAAGAAGTTACTGAGAATTCTTCTGTCTAGCGTTATATGAAGAAATCCCGTTTCCAACGAAGGCCTCAAAGAGGTCCAAATATCCACTTGCAGACTTTACAAATAGAGTGTTTCCAAACTGCTCTATGAAAAGAAAGGTTAAACTCCGTGAGTTGAAGGCACACATCACAAACTAGTTTCTGCGAATGACTCTGTGTACTTTTAATACGAAGATGTTTCCATGTCTAAGATTGGCGTGAATTCGCTTGAAATCTCCACTTGCAAATTCCACAAAAAGAGTGTTTCAAAACTGCTCTGAATAAAGGAAGGTTCCACTCTGTGAGTTGAATACACACAACACAAAGGATTTACTGAGAATTCTTCTGTCTAGCAGTAAATGAGAAATCCCGCTTCCAACGAAGGCCTCAAAGGGGTCTAACTAATCACTTGCAGACTTTACAGACAGAGTCTTTCCAAACTGCTCTATGAAGAGAAAGGTGAAACTCTGTGAACTGAACGCACAGATGACAAAGCAGTTTCTGAGAATGATTCTGTGTAGTTTTTACACGAAGATATTTCCATTTCAAAGATTAGCCTCAAATCGCTTGAAATCTCCACTTGCAAACTCCACAGAAAGAATTTTTCAAAACTGCTCTGTCTAAAGGAAGGTTCAACTCTGTGACTTGAATACACACAACACAAAGAAGTGACTGAGAATTCTTCTGTCTAGCATTATATGAGGAAATCCCGTTTCCAACGAAGGGCTCAAAGAGGGCCAAATATCCACCTGCAGACTTACAAAGAGTGTATTTCCAAACTGCTCGATTAAAGAAAGGTTAAACTCTGTGAGTTGAACACACACATCACAAAGAGTTTTCTGAGAATGATTTTGTCTAGTTTTAATACGAAGATATATCCTTTTCTATCACTGTCTTCGAAGCGTTTGAAATCTGCACTAGCAAATTCCACAGAAAGAGTGTTTCAAATCTGCTCTCTCTCAAGAAAGGTTCAACTCTGTGAGTGGAATACACACAACACAAAGAAGTTACAGAGAATTCTTCTGTCTAGCGTTATATGAAGAAATCCCGTTTCCAACGAAGGCCTCAAAGAGGTCCAAATATCCACTTGCAGACTTTACAAATAGAGTGTTTCCAAACTGCTCTATGAAAAGAAAGGTTAAACTCTGTGAGTTGAAGGCACACATCACAAACTAGTTTCTGCGAATGACTCTGTGTACTTTTAATACGAAGATGTTTCCATGTCTAAGATTGGCGTGAATTCGCTTGAAATCTCCACTTGCAAATTCCACAAAAAGAGTGTTTCAAAAGTGCTCTGAATAAAGGAAGGTTCCACTCTGTGAGTTGAATACACACAACACAAAGGATTTACTGAGAATTCTTCTGTCTAGCAGTAAATGAAAAAATCCCGCTTCCAACGAAGTCCTCAAAGGGGTCCAAGTAATCACTTGCAGACTTTACAGACAGAGTCTTTCCAAACTGCTCTATGAAGAGAAAGGTGGAACTCTGTGAGCTGAACGCACACATAACAAAGCAGTTTCTGAGAATGATTCTGTGTAGTTTTTACACGAAGATATTTCCATTTCAAAGATTAGCCTCAAATCGCTTGAAATCTCCACTTGCAAACTCCACAGAAAGAATTTTTCAAAACTGCTCTGTCTAAAGGAAGGTTCAACTCTGTGACTTGAATACACACAACACAAAGAAGTGACTGAGAATTCTTCTGTCTAGCATTATATGAAGAAATCCCGTTTCCAACGAAGGCCTCAAAGAAGTCCAAATAAGCACCTGCAGACTTTACAAACAGAGTGTTTCCAAACTGCTCTATGAAAAGAAAGGTTAAACTCTGTGAGTTGAACGCACACATCACAAACTAGTTTCTGCGAATGACTCTGTGTACTTTTAATACGAAGATGTTTCCATGTCTAAGATTGGCGTGAATTCGCTTGAAATCTCCACTTGCAAATTCCACAAAAACAGTGTTTCAAAACTGCTCTGAATAAAGGAAGGTTCCACTCTGTGAGTTGAATACACACAACACAAAGGATTTACTGAGAATTCTTCTGTCTGGCAGTAAATGAAAAAATCCCGCTTCCAACGAAGTCCTCAAAGGGGTCCAAGTAATCACTTGCAGACTTTACAGACAGAGTCTTTCCAAACTGCTCTATGAAAAGAAAGGTGGAACTCTGTGAGCTGAACGCACACATAACAAAGCAGTTTCTGAGAATGATTTCTGTGTAGTTTTTACACGAAGATATTTCCATTTCAAAGATTAGCCTCAAATCGCTTGAAATCTCCACTTGCAAATTACACAGAAAGAATTTTTCAAAACTGCTCTGTCTAAAGGAAGGTTCAACTCTGTGACTTGAATACACACAACACAAAGAAGTGACTGAGAATTCTTCTGTCTAGCATTACATGAAGAAATCCCGTTTCCAACGAAGGCCTCAATGAAGTCCAAAAAAGCACTTGCAGGCTTTACAAACAGAGTGTTTCCAAACTGCTCTATGAAAAGAAAGGTTAAACTCTGTGAGTTGAACGCACACATCACAAAGTAGTTGTTGAGAATGATTCTGTGTAGTTTTTATACGAAGATATTTCCTTTTCTGCCATAGGCCTAGAAGCGCTTGTAATCTGCACTTGCAAATTCCAAAAACAGAGTCTTTCAAATCTGCTCTCTCTAAAGGAAGGTTCAAATCTGTGAGTTGAATACAAACAACACAAAGAAGTTACTGAGAATTCTTCTGTCTAGCGTTATATGAAGAAATCCCGTTTCCAACGAAGGCCTCAAAGAGGTCCAAATATCCACTTGCAGACTTTACAAATAGAGTGTTTCCCAACTGCTCTATGAAAAGAAAGGTTAAACTCTGTGAGTTGAAGGCACACATCACAAACTAGTTTCTACGAATGACTCTGTGTACTTTTAATATGAAGATATTTCCATGTCTAAGATTGGCGTCAAATCGCTTGAAATCTCCACTTGCAAATTCCACAAAAAGAGTGTTTCAAAACTGCTCTGAATAAAGGAAGGTTCCACTCTGTGAGTTGAATACACACAACACAAAGGATTTACTGAGAATTCTTCTGTCTAGCAGTAAATGAGAAATCCCGCTTCCAACGAAGGCCTCAAAGGGGTCTAACTAATCACTTGCAGACTTTACAGACAGAGTCTTTCCAAACTGCTCTATGAAGAGAAAGGTGAAACTCTGTGAACTGAACGCACAGATGACAAAGCAGTTTCTGAGAATGATTCTGTGTAGTTTTTACACGAAGATATTTCCATTTCAAAGATTAGCCTCAAATCGCTTGAAATCTCCACTTGCAAATTCCACAGAAAGAGTTTTTCAAAACTGCTCTGTGTAAAGGAAGGTTCAACTCTGTGACTTGAATACACACAACACAAAGAAGTGACTGAGAATTCTTCTGTCTAGCATTATATGAAGAAATCCCGTTTCCAACGAAGGCCTCAAAGAAGTCCAAATAAGCACCTGCAGACTTTACAAACAGAGTGTTTCCAAACTGCTCTATGAAAAGAAAGGTTAAACTCTGTGAGTTGAACGCACACATCACAAACTAGTTGTTGAGAATGATTCTGTGTAGTTTTTATACGAAGATATTTCCTTTTCTGCCATAGGCCTAGAAGCGCTTGCAATCTGCACTTGCAAATTCCAAAAACAGAGTGTTTCAAATCTGCTCTCTCTAAAGGAAAGTTCAAATCTGTGAGTTGAATACAAACAACACAAAGAAGTTACTGAGAATTCTTCTGTCTAGCGTTATATGAAGAAATCCCGTTTCCAACGAAGGCCTCAAAGAGGTCCAAATATCCACTTGCAGACTTTACAAATAGAGTGTTTCCAAACTGCTCTATGAAAAGAAAGGTTAAACTCTGTGAGTTGAAGGCACACATCACAAACTAGTTTCTGCGAATGACTCTGTGTACTTTTAATACGAAGATGTTTCCATGTCTAAGATTGGCGTGAATTCGCTTGAAATCTGCACTTGCAAATTCCACAAAAAGAGTGTTTCAAAACTGCTCTGAATAAAGGAAGGTTCCACTCTGTGAGTTGAATACACACAACACGAAGGATTTACTGAGAATTCTTCTGTCTAGCAGTAAATGAGAAATCCCGCTTCCAACGAAGGCCTCAAAGGGGTCTAACTAATCACTTGCAGACTTTACAGACAGAGTCTTTCCAAACTGCTCTATGAAGAGAAAGGTGAAACTCTGTGAACTGAACGCACAGATGACAAAGCAGTTTCTGAGAATGATTCTGTGTAGTTTTTACACGAAGATATTTCCATTTCAAAGATTAGCCTCAAATCGCTTGAAATCTCCACTTGCAAATTCCACAGAAAGAGGTTTTCAAAACTGCTCTGTGTAAAGGAAGGTTCAGCTCTGTGACTTGAATACACACAACACAAAGAAGTGACTGAGAATTCTTCTGTCTAGCATTATATGAAGAAATCCCGTTTCCAACGAAGGCCTCAATGAAGTCCAAAAAAGCACTTGCAGGCTTTACAAACAGAGTGTTTCCAAACTGCTCTATGAAAAGAAAGGTTAAACTCTGTGAGTTGAACGCACACATCACAAAGTAGTTGTTGAGAATGATTCTGTGTAGTTTTTATACGAAGATATTTCCTTTTCTGCCATAGGCCTAGAATCGCTTGAAATCTGCAGTTGCAAATTCCAAAAACAGAGTGTTTCAACTCTGCTCTCTCTAAAGAAAGGTTCAACTCTGTGAGTTGAATACACACAACACAAAGAAGTTACTGAGAATTCTTCTGTCTAGCATTATATGAGGAAATCCCGTTTCCAACGAAGGGCTCAAAGAGGGCCAAATATCCACCAGCAGACTTACAAAGAGTGTATTTCCAAACTGCTCGATTAAAGAAAGGTTAAACTCTGTGAGTTGAACACACACATCACAAAGAGTTTTCTGAGAATGATTCTGTGTACTTTTAATATGAAGATATTTCCATGTCTAAGATTGGCGTCAAATCGCTTGAAATCTCCACTTGCAAATTCCAGAAAAAGTGTTTTTCAAAACTGCTCTGAATAAAGGAAGGTTCCACTCTGTGAGTTGAATACACACAACACAAAGGATTTACTGAGAATTCTTCTGTCTAGCAGTAAATGAAAAAATCCCGCTTCCAACGAAGTCCTCAAAGGGGTCCAAGTAATCACTTGCAGACTTTACAGACAGAGTCTTTCCAAACTGCTCTATGAAAAGAAAGGTTAAACTCTGTGAGTTGAACGCACACATAACAAAGCAGTTTCTGAGAATGATTCTGTGTAGTTTTTACACGAAGATATTTCCATTTCAAAGATTAGCCTCAAATCGCTTGAAATCTCCACTTGCAAACTCCACAGAAAGAATTTTTCAAAACTGCTCTGTCTAAAGGAAGGTTCAACTCTGTGACTTGAATACACACAACACAAAGAAGTGACTGAGAATTCTTCTGTCTAGCATTATATGAAGAAATCCCGTTTCCAACGAAGGCCTCAAAGAAGTCCAAATAAGCACCTGCAGACTTTACAAACAGAGTGTTTCCAAACTGCTCTATGAAAAGAAAGGTTAAACTCTGTGAGCTGAACGCACACATCACAAAGTAGTTGTTGAGAATGATTTTGTCTAGTTTTAATACGAAGATATATCCTTTTCTATCACTGTCTTCGAAGCGTTTGAAATCTGCACTAGCAAATTCCACAGAAAGAGTGTTTCAACTCTGCTCTCTCTCAAGAAAGGTTCAACTCTGTGAGTTGAATACACACAACACAAAGAAGTTACTGAGAATTCTTCTGTCTAGCGTTATATGAAGAAATCCCGTTTCCAACGAAGGCCTCAAAGAGGTCCAAATATCCACTTGCAGACTTTACAAATAGAGTGTTTCCCAACTGCTCTATGAAAAGAAAGGTTAAACTCTGTGAGTTGAAGGCACACATCACAAACTAGTTTCTACGAATGACTCTGTGTACTTTTAATATGAAGATATTTCCATGTCTAAGATTGGCGTCAAATCGCTTGAAATCTCCACTTGCAAATTCCACAAAAAGTGTTTTTCAAAACTGCTCTGAATAAAGGAAGGTTCCACTCTGTGAGTTGAATACACACAACACAAAGGATTTACTGAGAATTCTTCTGTCTAGCAGTAAATGAAAAAATCCCGCTTCCAACGAAGTCCTCAAAGGGGTCCAAGTATTCACTTGCAGACTTTACAGACAGAGTCTTTCCAAACTGCTCTATGAAAAGAAAGGTGGAACTCTGTGAGCTGAACGCACACATAACAAAGCAGTTTCTGAGAATGATTCTGTGTAGTTTTTACACGAAGCTATTTCCATTTCAAAGATTAGCCTCAAATCGCTTGAAATCTCCACTTGCAAATTCCACAGAAAGAGTTTTTCAAAACTGCTCTGTGTAAAGGATGGTTCAACTCTGTGACTTGAATACACACAACACAAAGAAGTGACTGAGAATTCTTCTGTCTAGCATTACATGAAGAAATCCCGTTTCCAACGAAGGCCTCAAAGAAGTCCAAATAAGCACCTGCAGACTTTACAAACAGAGTGTTTCCAAACTGCTCTATGAAAAGAAAGGTTAAACTCTGTGAGTTGAACGCACACATCACAAAGTAGTTGTTGAGAATGATTCTGTGTAGTTTTTATACGAAGATATTTCCTTTTCTGCCATAGGCCTAGAAGCGCTTGTAATCTGCACTTGCAAATTCCAAAAACAGAGTGTTTCAAATCTGCTCTCTCTAAAGGAAGGTTCAAATCTGTGAGTTGAATACAAACAATACAAGGAAGTTACTGTGAATTCTTCTGTCTAGCGTTATATGAAGAAATCCCGTTTCCAACGAAGGCCTCAAAGAGGTCCAAATATCCACTTGCAGACTTTACAAATAGAGTGTTTCCAAACTGCTCTATGAAAAGAAAGGTTAAACTCCGTGAGTTGAAGGCACACATCACAAACTAGTTTCTGCGAATGACTCTGTGTACTTTTAATATGAAGATATTTCCATGTCTAAGATTGGCGTCAAATCGCTTGAAATCTCCACTTGCAAATTCCACAAAAAGAGTGTTTCAAAACTGCTCTGAATAAAGGAAGGTTCCACTCTGTGAGTTGAATACACACAACACAAAGGATTTACTGAGAATTCTTCTGTCTAGCAGTAAATGAGAAATCCCGCTTCCAACGAAGGCCTCAAAGGGGTCTAACTAATCACTTGCAGACTTTACAGACAGAGTCTTTCCAAACTGCTCTATGAAGAGAAAGGTGAAACTGTGTGAACTGAACGCACAGATGACAAAGCAGTTTCTGAGAATGATTCTGTGTACTTTTAATATGAAGATATTTCCATGTCTAAGATTGGAGTCAAATCGCTTGAAATCTCCACTTGCAAATTCCACAAAAAGAGTGTTTCAAAACTGCTCTGAATAAAGGAAGGTTCCACTCTGTGAGTTGAATAAACACAACACAAAGGATTTACTGAGAATTCTTCTGTCTAGCATTATATGAAGAAATCCCGTTTCCAACGAAGGCCTCAATGAAGTCCAAAAAAGCACTTGCAGGCTTTACAAACAGAGTGTTTCCAAACTTCTCTATGAAAAGAAAGGTTAAACTTTGTGAGTTGAACGCACACATCACAGAGTAGTTGTTGAGAATGATTTTGTCTAGTTTTAATACGAAGATATATCCTTTTCTATCACTGTCTTCGAAGCGTTTGAAATCTGCACTAGCAAATTCCACAAACAGAGTGTTTCAACTCTGCTCTCTCTCAAGAAAGGTTCAACTCTGTGAGTGGAATACACACAACACAAAGAAGTTACAGAGAATTCTTCTGTCTAGCGTTATATGAAGAAATCCCGTTTCCAACGAAGGCCTCAAAGAGGTCCAAATATCCACTTGCAGACTTTACAAATAGAGTGTTTCCAAACTGCTCTATGAAAAGAAAGGTTAAACTCTGTGAGTTGAAGGCACACATCACAAACTAGTTTCTGCGAATGACTCTGTGTACTTTTAATACGAAGATGTTTCCATGTCTAAGATTGGCGTGAATTCGCTTGAAATCTCCACTTGCAAATTCCACAAAAAGAGTGTTTCAAAACTGCTCTGAATAAAGGAAGGTTCCACTCTGTGAGTTGAATACACACAACACAAAGGATTTACTGAGAATTCTTCTGTCTAGCAGTAAATGAGAAATCCCGCTTCCAACGAAGGCCTCAAAGGGGTCTAACTAATCACTTGCAGACTTTACAGACAGAGTCTTTCCAAACTGCTCTATGAAGAGAAAGGTGAAACTCTGTGAACTGAACGCACAGATGACAAAGCAGTTTCTGAGAATGATTCTGTGTAGTTTTTACACGAAGATATTTCCATTTCAAAGATTAGCCTCAAATCGCTTGAAATCTCCACTTGCAAACTACACAGAAAGAATTTTTCAAAACTGCTCTGTCTAAAGGAAGGTTCAACTCTGTGACTTGAATACACACAACACAAAGAAGTGACTGAGAATTCTTCTGTCTAGCATTACATGAAGAAATCCCGTTTCCAACGAAGGCCTCAAAGAAGTCCAAATAAGCACCTGCAGACTTTACAAACAGAGTGTTTCCAAACTGCTCTATGAAAAGAAAGGTTAAACTCTGTGAGTTGAACGCACACATCACAAAGTAGTTGTTGAGAATGATTCTGTGTAGTTTTTATACGAAGATATTTCCTTTTCTGCCATAGGCCTAGAAGCGCTTGTAATCTGCACTTGCAAATTCCAAAAACAGAGTGTTTCAAATCTGCTCTCTCTAAAGGAAGGTTCAAATCTGTGAGTTGAATACAAACAACACAAAGAAGTTACTGAGAATTCTTCTGTCTAGCGTTATATGAAGAAATCCCGTTTCCAACGAAGGCCTCAAAGAGGTCCAAATATCCACTTGCAGACTTTACAAATAGAGTGTTTCCAAACTGCTCTATGAAAAGAAAGGTTAAACTCTGTGAGTTGAAGGCACACATCACAAACTAGTTTCTGCGAATGACTCTGTGTACTTTTAATACGAAGATGTTTCCATGTCTAAGATTGGCGTGAATTCGCTTGAAATCTCCACTTGCAAATTCCACAAAAAGAGTGTTTCAAAACTGCTCTGAATAAAGGAAGGTTCCACTCTGTGAGTTGAATACACACAACACAAAGGATTTACTGAGAATTCTTCTGTCTAGCAGTAAATGAGAAATCCCGCTTCCAACGAAGGCCTCAAAGGGGTCTAACTAATCACTTGCAGACTTTACAGACAGAGTCTTTCCAAACTGCTCTATGAAGAGAAAGGTGAAACTCTGTGAACTGAACGCACAGATGACAAAGCAGTTTCTGAGAATGATTCTGTGTAGTTTTTACACGAAGATATTTCCATTTCAAAGATTAGCCTCAAATCGCTTGAAATCTCCACTTGCAAACTCCACAGAAAGAATTTTTCAAAACTGCTCTGTCTAAAGGAAGGTTCAACTCTGTGACTTGAATACACACAACACAAAGAAGTGACTGAGAATTCTTCTGTCTAGCATTATAAGAGGAAATCCCGTTTCCAACGAAGGGCTCATAGAGGGACAATTATCCAGCTGCAGACTTACAAAGAGTGTATTTCCAAACTGCTCGATTAAAGAAAGGTTAAACTCTGTGAGTTGAACACACACATCACAAAGTGTTTTCTGAGAATGATTCTGTGTAGTTTTTATACGAAGATATTTCCTTTTCTGCCATAGGCCTAGAATCGCTTGAAATCTGCAGTTGCAAATTCCAAAAACAGAGTGTTTCAACTCTGCTCTCTCTAAAGAAAGGTTCAACTCTGTGAGTTGAATACACACAACACAAAGAAGTTACTGAGAATTCTTCTGTCTAGCGTTATATGAAGAAATCCCGTTTCCAACGAAGGCCTCAAAGAGGTCCAAATATCCACTTGCAGACTTTACAAATAGAGTGTTTCCAAACTGCTCTATGAAAAGAAAGGTTAAACTCCGTGAGTTGAAGGCACACATCACAAACTAGTTTCTGCGAATGACTCTGTGTACTTTTAATACGAAGATGTTTCCATGTCTAAAATTGGCGTGAATTCGCTTGAAATCTCCACTTGCAAATTCCACAAAAAGAGTGTTTCAAAACTGCTCTGAATAAAGGAAGGTTCCACTCTGTGAGTTGAATACACACAACACGAAGGATTTACTGAGAATTCTTCTGTCTAGCAGTAAATGAAAAAATACCGCTTCCAACGAAGTCCTCAAAGGGGTCCAAGTAATCACTTGCAGACTTTACAGACAGAGTCTTTCCAAACTGCTCTATGAAAAGAAAGGTGGAACTCTGCGAGCTGAACGCACACATAACAAAGCAGTTTCTGAGAATGATTCTGTGTAGTTTTTACACGAAGATATTTCCATTTCAAAGATTAGCCTCAAATCGCTTGAAATCTCCACTTGCAAATTCCACAGAAAGAGTTTTTCAAAACTGCTCTGTGTAAAGGAAGGTTCAACTCTGTGACTTGAATACACACAACACAAAGAAGTGACTGAGAATTCTTCTGTCTAGCATTATATGAAGAAATCCCGTTTCCAACGAAGGCCTCAAAGAAGTCCAAATAAGCACCTGCAGACTTTACAAACAGAGTGTTTCCAAACTGCTCTATGAAAAGAAAAGTTAAACTCTGTGAGTTGAACGCACACATCACAAAGTAGTTGTTGAGAATGATTCTGTGTAGTTTTTATACGAAGATATTTCCTTTTCTGCCATAGGCCTAGAATCGCTTGTAATCTACACTTGCAAATTCCAAAAACAGAGTGTTTCAAATCTGCTCTCTCTAAAGGAAGGTTCAAATCTGTGAGTTGAATACAAACAACACAAAGAAGTTACTGTGAATTCTTCTGTCTAGCGTTATATGAAGAAATCCCGTTTCCAACGAAGGCCTCAAAGAGGTCCAAATATCCACTTGCAGACTTTACAAATAGAGTGTTTCCAAACTGCTCTATGAAAAGAAAGGTTAAACTCCGTGAGTTGAAGGCACACATCACAAACTAGTTTCTGCGAATGACTCTGTGTACTTTTAATATGAAGATATTTCCATGTCTAAGATTGGCGTCAAATCGCTTGAAATCTCCACTTGCAAATTCCACAAAAAGTGTTTTTCAAAACTGCTCTGAATAAAGGAAGGTTCCACTCTGTGAGTTGAATACACACAACACAAAGGATTTACTGAGAATTCTTCTGTCTAGCAGTAAATGAAAAAATCCCGCTTCCAACGAAGTCCTCAAAGGGGTCCAAGTAATCACTTGCAGACTTTACAGACAGAGTCTTTCCAAACTGCTCTATGAAAAGAAAGGTGGAACTCTGTGAGCTGAACGCACACATAACAAAGCAGTTTCTGAGAATGATTCTGTGTAGTTTTTACACGAAGATATTTCCATTTCAAAGATTAGCCTCAAATCGCTTGAAATCTCCACTTGCAAACTCCACAGAAAGAATTTTTCAAAACTGCTCTGTCTAAAGGAAGGTTCAACTCTGTGACTTGAATACACACAACACAAAGAAGTGACTGAGAATTCTTCTGTCTAGCATTATATGAAGAAATCCCGTTTCCAACGAAGGCCTCAATGAAGTCCAAAAAAGCACTTGCAGGCTTTAGAAACAGAGTGTTTCCAAACTTCTCTATGAAAAGTAAGGTTAAACTTTGTGAGTTGAACGCACACATCACAAAGTAGTTGTTGAGAATGATTCTGTGTAGTTTTTATACGAAGATATTTCCTTTTCTGCCATAGGCCCAGAAGCCCTTGAAATCTCCACTTGCAAATTCCAAGAACAGAGTGTTTCAAATCTGCCCTCTCTAAAGGAAGGTCCAAATCTGTGAGTTGAATACAAACAACACAAAGAAGTTACTGAGAATTCTTCTGTCTAGCGTTGTATGAAGAAATCCCGTTTCCAACGAAGGCCTCAAAGAGGTCCAAATATCCACTTGCAGACTTTACAAATAGAGTGTTTCCCAACTGCTCTATGAAAAGAAAGGTTAAACTCTGTGAGTTGAAGGCACACATCACAAACTAGTTTCTACGGATGACTCTGTGTACTTTTAATATGAAGATATTTCCATGTCTAAGATTGGCGTCAAATCGCTTGAAATCTCCACTTGCAAATTCCACAAAAAGAGTGTTTCAAAACTGCTCTGAATAAAGGAAGGTTCCACTCTGTGAGTTGAATACACACAACACAAAGGATTTACTGAGAATTCTTCTGTCTAGCAGTAAATGAAAAAATCCCGCTTCCAACGAAGTCCTCAAAGGGGTCCAAGTAATCACTTGCAGACTTTACAGACAGAGTCTTTCCAAACTGCTCTATGAAAAGAAAGGTGGAACTCTGTGAGCTGAACGCACACATAACAAAGCAGTTTCTGAGAATGATTCTGTGTAGTTTTTACACGAAGATATTTCCATTTCAAAGATTAGCCTCAAATCGCTTGAAATCTCCACTTGCAAATTACACAGAAAGAATTTTTCAAAACTGCTCTGTCTAAAGGAAGGTTCAACTCTGTGACTTGAATACACACAACACAAAGAAGTGACTGAGAATTCTTCTGTCTAGCATTATATGAGGAAATCCCGTTTCCAACGAAGGGCTCATAGAGGGACAATTATCCAGCTGCAGACTTACAAAGAGTGTATTTCCAAACTGCTCGATTAAAGAAAGGTTAAACTCTGTGAGTTGAACACACACATCACAAAGTGTTTTCTGAGAATGATTTTGTCTAGTTTTAATACGAAGATATATCCTTTTCTATCACTGTCTTCGAAGCGTTTGAAATCTGCACTAGCAAATTCCACAAACAGAGTGTTTCAACTCTGCTCTCTCTCAAGAAAGGTTCAACTCTGTGAGTTGAATACACACAACACAAAGAAGTTACTGAGAATTCTTCTGTCTAGCGTTGTATGAAGAAATCCCGTTTCCAACGAAGGCCTCAAAGAGGTCCAAATATCCACTTGCAGACTTTACAAATAGAGTGTTTCCCAACTGCTCTATGAAAAGAAAGGTTAAACTCTGTGAGTTGAAGGCACACATCACAAACTAGTTTCTACGAATGACTCTGTGTACTTTTAATATGAAGACATTTCCATGTCTAAGATTGGCGTCAAATCGCTTGAAATCTCCACTTGCAAATTCCACAAAAAGTGTTTTTCAAAACTGCTCTGAATAAAGGAAGGTTCCACTCTGTGAGTTGAATACACACAACACAAAGGATTTACTGAGAATTCTTCTGTCTAGCAGTAAATGAAAAAATCCCGCTTCCAACGAAGTCCTCAAAGGGGTCCAAGTAATCACTTGCAGACTTTACAGACAGAGTCTTTCCAAACTGCTCTATGAAAAGAAAGGTGGAACTCTGTGAGCTGAACGCACACATAACAAAGCAGTTTCTGAGAATGATTCTGTGTAGTTTTTACACGAAGATATTTCCATTTCAAAGATTAGCCTCAAATCGCTTGAAATCTCCACTTGCAAATTCCACAGAAAGAGTTTTTCAAAACTGCTCTGTGTAAAGGAAGGTTCAACTCTGTGACTTGAATACACACAACACAAAGAAGTGACTGAGAATTCTTCTGTCTAGCATTATATGAAGAAATCCCGTTTCCAACGAAGGCCTCAATGAAGTCCAAAAAAGCACTTGCAGGCTTTACAAACAGAGTGTTTCCAAACTGCTCTATGAAAAGAAAGGTTAAACTCTGTGAGTTGAACGCACACATCACAAAGTAGTTGTTGAGAATGATTCTGTGTAGTTTTTATACGAAGATATTTCCTTTTCTGCCATAGGCCTAGAAGCGCTTGTAATCTGCACTTGCAAATTCCAAAAACAGAGTGTTTCAAATCTGCTCTCTCTAAAGGAAGGTTCAAATCTGTGAGTTGAATACAAACAACACAAAGAAGTTACTGAGAATTCTTCTGTCTAGCGTTGTATGAAGAAATCCCGTTTCCAACGAAGGCCTCAAAGAGGTCCAAATATCCACTTGCAGACTTTACAAATAGAGTGTTTCCAAACTGCTCTATGAAAAGAAAGGTTAAACTCTGTGAGTTGAAGGCACACATCACAAACTAGTTTCTACGAATGACTCTGTGTACTTTTAATATGAAGATATTTCCATGTCTAAGATTGGCGTCAAATCGCTTGAAATCTCCACTTGCAAATTCCACAAAAAGAGTGTTTCAAAACTGCTCTGAATAAAGGAAGGTTCCACTCTGTGAGTTGAATACACACAACACAAAGGATTTACTGAGAATTCTTCTGTCTGGCAGTAAATGAAAAAATCCCGCTTCCAACGAAGTCCTCAAAGGGGTCCAAGTAATCACTTGCAGACTTTACAGACAGAGTCTTTCCAAACTGCTCTATGAAAAGAAAGGTGTAACTCTGTGAGCTGAACGCACACGTAACAAAGCAGTTTCTGAGAATGATTCTGTGTAGTTTTTAAACGAAGATATTTCCATTTCAAAGATTAGCCTCAAATCGCTTGAAATCTCCACTTGCAAATTCCACAGAAAGAGTTTTTCAAAACTGCTCTGTGTAAAGGAAGGTTCAACTCTTTGACTTGAATACACACAACACAAAGAAGTGACTGAGAATTCTTCTGTCTAGCATTATATGAGGAAATCCCGTTTCCAACGAAGGGCTCAAAGAGGGCCAATTATCCACCTGCAGACTTACAAAGAGTGTATTTCCAAACTGCTCGATTAAAGAAAGGTTAAACTCTGTGAGTTGAACACACACATCACAAAGTGTTTTCTGAGAATGATTCTGTGTAGTTTTTATACGAAGATATTTCCTTTTCTGCCATAGGCCTAGAATCGCTTGAAATCTGCAATTGCAAATTCCAAAAACAGAGTGTTTCAACTCTGCTCTCTCTAAAGAAAGGTTCAACTCTGTGAGTTGAATACACACAACACAAAGAAGTTACTGAGAATTCTTCTGTCTAGCGTTGTATGAAGAAATCCCGTTTCCAACGAAGGCCTCAAAGAGGTACAAATATCCACTTGCAGACTTTACAAATAGAGTGTTTCCAAACTGCTCTATGAAAAGAAAGGTTAAGCTCTGTGACTTGAAGGCACACATCACAAACTAGTTTCTACGAATGACTCTGTGTACTTTTAATACGAAGATGTTTCCATGTCTAAGATTGGCGTGAATTCGCTTGAAATCTCCACTTGCAAATTCCACAAAAAGAGTGTTTCAAAACTGCTCTGAATAAAGGAAGGTTCCACTCTGTGAGTTGAATACACACAACACAAAGGATTTACTGAGAATTCTTCTGTCTAGCAGTAAATGAGAAATCCCGCTTCCAACGAAGGCCTCAAAGGGGTCTAACTAATCACTTGCAGACTTTACAGACAGAGTCTTTCCAAACTGCTCTATGAAGAGAAAGGTGAAACTCTGTGAACTGAACGCACAGATGACAAAGCAGTTTCTGAGAATGATTCTGTGTAGTTTTTACACGAAGCTATTTCCATTTCAAAGATTAGCCTCAAATCGCTTGAAATCTCCACTTGCAAATTCCACAGAAAGAGTTTTTCAAAACTGCTCTGTGTAAAGGAAGGTTCAACTCTGTGACTTGAATACACACAACACAAAGAAGTGACTGAGAATTCTTCTGTCTAGCGTTGTATGAAGAAATCCCGTTTCCAACGAAGGCCTCAATGAAGTCCAAAAAAGCACTTGCAGGCTTTACAAACAGAGTGTTTCCAAACTGCTCTATGAAAAGAAAGGTTAAACTCTGTGAGTTGAACTCACACATCACAAAGTAGTTGTTGAGAATGATTTCTGTGTAGTCTTTATACGAAGATATTTCCTTTTCTGCCATAGGCCTAGAATCGCTTGAAATCTACACTTGCAAATTCCAAAAACAGAGTGTTTCAACTCTGCTCTCTCTAAAGAAAGGTTCAACTCTGTGAGTTGAATACACACAACACAAAGAAGTTACTGAGAATTCTTCTGTCTAGCGTTATATGAAGAAATCCCGTTTCCAACGAAGGCCTCAAAGAGGTCCAAATATCCACTTGCAGACTTTACAGATAGAGTGTTTCCAAACTGCTCTATGAAAAGAAAGGTTAAACTCCGTGAGTTGAAGGCACACATCACAAACTAGTTTCTGCGAATGACTCTGTGTACTTTTAATACGAAGATGTTTCCATGTCTAAGATTGGCGTGAATTCGCTTGAAATCTCCACTTGCAAATTCCACAAAAAGAGTGTTTCAAAACTGCTCTGAATAAAGGAAGGTTCCACTCTGTGAGTTGAATACACACAACACAAAGGATTTACTGAGAATTCTTCTGTCTAGCAGTAAATGAAAAAATCCCGCTTCCAACGAAGTCCTCAAAGGGGTCCAAGTAATCACTTGCAGACTTTACAGACAGAGTCTTTCCAAACTGCTCTATGAAAAGAAAGGTGGAACTCTGTGAGCTGAACGCACACATAACAAAGCAGTTTCTGAGAATGATTCTGTGTAGTTTTTACACGAAGCTATTTCCATTTCAAAGATTAGCCTCAAATCGCTTGAAATCTCCACTTGCAAATTCCACAGAAAGAGTTTTTCAAAACTGCTCTGTGTAAAGGAAGGTTCAACTCTGTGACTTGAATACACACAACACAAAGAAGTGACTGAGAATTCTTCTGTCTAGCATTATATGAGGAAATCCCGTTTCCAACGAAGGGCTCATAGAGGGACAATTATCCACCTGCAGACTTACAAAGAGTGTATTTCCAAACTGCTCGATTACAGAAAGGTTAAACTCTGTGAGTTGAACACACACATCACAAAGTGTTTTCTGAGAATGATTCTGTGTAGTTTTTATACGAAGATATTTCCTTTGCTGCCATAGGCCTAGAAGCGCTTGAAATTTGCACTTGCAAATTCCAAAAACAGAGTGTTTCAAATCTGCTCTCTCTAAAGGAAGGTTCAAATCTGTGTGTTGAATACAAACAACACAAAGAAGTTACTGAGAATTCTTCTGTCTAGGGTTATATGAAGAAATCCCGTTTCCAAAGAATGCCTCAAAGAGGTCCAAATATCCACTTGCAGACTTTACAAATAGAGTGTTTCCCAACTGCTCTATGAAAAGAAAGGTTAAACTCTGTGAGTTGAAGGCACACATCACAAACTAGTTTCTACGAATGACTCTGTGTACTTTTAATACGAAGATGTTTCCATGTCTAAGATTGGCGTGAATTCGCTTGAAATCTCCACTTGCAAATTCCACAAAAAGAGTGTTTCAAAACTGCTCTGAATAAAGGAAGGTTCCACTCTGTGAGTTGAATACACACAACACAAAGGATTTACTGAGAATTCTTCTGTCTAGCAGTAAATGAAAAAATCCCGCTTCCAACGAAGTCCTCAAAGGGGTCCAAGTAATCACTTGCAGACTTTACAGACAGAGTCTTTCCAAACTGCTCTATGAAAAGAAAGGTGGAACTCTGTGAGCTGAACGCACACATAACAAAGCAGTTTCTGAGAATGATTCTGTGTAGTTTTTACACGAAGCTATTTCCATTTCAAAGATTAGCCTCAAATCGCTTGAAATCTCCACTTGCAAATTCCACAGAAAGAGTTTTTCAAAACTGCTCTGTGTAAAGGAAGGTTCAACTCTGTGACTTGAATCCACACAACACAAAGAAGTGACTGAGAATTCTTCTGTCTAGCATTATATGAAGAAATCCCGTTTCCAACGAAGGCCTCAAAGAAGTCCAAATAAGCACCTGCAGACTTTACAAACAGAGTGTTTCCAAACTGCTCTATGAAAAGAAAGGTTAAACTCTGTGAGTTGAACGCACACATCACAAAGTAGTTGTTGAGAATGATTCTGTGTAGTTTTTATACGAAGATATTTCCTTTTCTGCCATAGGCCTAGAAGCGCTTGAAATCTGCACTTGCAAATTCCAAAAACAGAGTGTTTCAAATCTGCTCTCTCTAAAGGAAGGTTCAAATCTGTGTGTTGAATACAAACAACACAAAGAAGTTACTGAGAATTCTTCTGTCTAGCGTTATATGAAGAAATCCCGTTTCCAACGAAGGCCTCAAAGAGGTCCAAATATCCACTTGCAGACTTTACAAATAGAGTGTTTCCCAACTGCTCTATGAAAAGAAAGGTTAAACTCTGTGAGTTGAAGGCACACATCACAAACTAGTTTCTACGAATGACTCTGTGTACTTTTAATACGAAGATGTTTCCATGTCTAAGATTGGCGTGAATTCGCTTGAAATCTCCACTTGCAAATTCCACAAAAAGAGTGTTTCAAAACTGCTCTGAATAAAGGAAGGTTCCACTCTGTGAGTTGAATACACACAACACAAAGGATTTACTGAGAATTCTTCTGTCTAGCAGTAAATGAAAATATCCCGCTTCCAACGAAGTCCTCAAAGGGGATCCAAGTAATCACTTGCAGACTTTACAGACAGAGTCTTTCCAAACTGCTCTATGAAAAGAAAGGTGGAACTCTGTGAGCTGAACGCACACATAACAAAGCAGTTTCTGAGAATGTTTCTGTGTAGTTTTTACACGAAGATATTTCCATTTCAAAGATTAGCCTCAAATCGCTTGAAATCTCCACTTGCAAATTCCACAGAAAGAGTTTTTCAAAACTGCTCTGTGTAAAGGAAGGTTCAACTCTGTGACTTGAATACACACAACACAAAGAAGTGACTGAGAATTCTTCTGTCTAGCATTATATGAAGAAATCCCGTTTCCAACGAAGGCCTCAATGAAGTCCAAAAAAGCACTTGCAGGCTTTACAAACAGAGTGTTTCCAAACTGCTCTATGAAAAGAAAGGTTAAACTCTGTGAGTTGAACGCACACATCACAAAGTAGTTGTTGAGAATGATTCTGTGTAGTTTTTATATGAAGATATTTCCTTTTCTGCCATAGGCCTAGAAGCGCTTGAAATATGCACTTGCAAATTCCAAAAACAGAGTGTTTCAAATCTGCTCTCTCTAAAGGAAGGTTCAAATCTGTGTGTTGAATACAAACAACACAAAGAAGTTACTGAGAATTCTTCTGTCTAGCGTTATATGAAGAAATCCCGTTTCCAACGAAGGCCTCAAAGAGGTCCAAATATCCACTTGCAGACTTTACAAATAGAGTGTTTCCAAACTGCTCTATGAAAAGAAAGGTTAAACTCCGTGAGTTGAAGGCACACATCACAAACTAGTTTCTGCGAATGACTCTGTGTACTTTTAATATGAAGATATTTCCATGTCTAAGATTGGCGTCAAATCGCTTGAAATCTCCACTTGCAAATTCCACAAAAAGTGTTTTTCAAAAGTGCTCTGAATAAAGGAAGGTTCCACTCTGTGAGTTGAATACACACAACACAAAGGATTTACTGAGAATTCTTCTGTCTAGCAGTAAATGAGAAATCCCGCTTCCAACGAAGGCCTCAAAGGGGTCTAACTAATCACTTGCAGACTTTACAGACAGAGTCTTTCCAAACTGCTCTATGAAGAGAAAGGTGAAACTCTGTGAACTGAACGCACAGATGACAAAGCAGTTTCTGAGAATGATTCTGTGTAGTTTTTACACGAAGATATTTCCATTTCAAAGATTAGCCTCAAATCGCTTGAAATCTCCACTTGCAAACTCCACAGAAAGAATTTTTCAAAACTGCTCTGTCTAAAGGAAGGTTCAACTCTGTGACTTGAATACACACAACACAAAGAAGTGACTGAGAATTCTTCTGTCTAGCATTATATGAAGAAATCCCGTTTCCAACGAAGGCCTCAAAGAAGTCCAAATAAGCACCTGCAGACTTTACAAACAGAGTGTTTCCAAACTGCTCTATGAAAAGAAAGGTTAAACTCTGTGAGCTGAACGCACACATCACAAAGTAGTTGTTGAGAATGATTTTGTCTAGTTTTAATACGAAGATATATCCTTTTCTATCACTGTCTTCGAAGCGTTTGAAATCGGCACTAGCAAATTCCACAAACAGAGTGTTTCAACTCTGCTCTCTCTCAAGAAAGGTTCAACTCTGTGAGTGGAATACACACAACACAAAGAAGTTACTGAGAATTCTTCTGTCTAGCGTTGTATGAAGAAATCCCGTTTCCAACGAAGGCCTCAAAGAGGTCCAAATATCCACTTGCAGACTTTACAAATAGAGTGTTTCCAAACTGCTCTATGAAAAGAAAGGTTAAACTCTGTGAGTTGAAGGCACACATCACAAACTAGTTTCTACGAATGACTCTGTGTACTTTTAATATGAAGATATTTCCATGTCTAAGATTGGCGTAAAATCGCTTGAAATCTCCACTTGCAAATTCCACAAAAAGTGTTTTTCAAAACTGCTCTGAATAAAGGAAGGTTCCACTCTGTGAGTTGAATACACATAACACAAAGGATTTACTGAGAATTCTTCTGTCTAGCAGTAAATGAGAAATCCCGCTTCCAACGAAGGCCTCAAAGGGGTCTAACTAATCACTTGCAGACTTTACAGACAGAGTCTTTCCAAACTGCTCTATGAAGAGAAAGGTGAAACTCTGTGAACTGAACGCACAGATGACAAAGCAGTTTCTGAGAATGATTCTGTGTAGTTTTTACACGAAGCTATTTCCATTTCAAAGATTAGCCTCAAATCGCTTGAAATCTCCACTTGCAAATTCCACAGAAAGAGTTTTTCAAAACTGCTCTGTGTAAAGGAAGGTTCAACTCTGTGACTTGAATACACACAACACAAAGAAGTGACTGAGAATTCTTCTGTCTAGCATTATATGAAGAAATCCCGTTTCCAACGAAGGCCTCAATGAAGTCCAAAAAAGCACTTGCAGGCTTTACAAACAGAGTGTTTCCAAACTGCTCTATGAAAAGAAAGGTTAAACTCTGTGAGTTGAACGCACACATCACAAAGTAGTTGTTGAGAATGATTCTGTGTAGTTTTTATACGAAGATATTTCCTTTTCTGCCATAGGCCTAGAATCGCTTGAAATCTGCAGTTGCAAATTCCAAAAACAGAGTGTTTCAACTCTGCTCTCTCTAAAGAAAGGTTCAACTCTGTGAGTTGAATACACACAACACAAAGAAGTTACTGAGAATTCTTCTGTCTAGCGTTATATGAAGAAATCCCGTTTCCAACGAAGGCCTCAAAGAGGTCCAAATATCCACTTGCAGACTTTACAAATAGAGTGTTTCCAAACTGCTCTATGAAAAGAAAGGTTAAACTCCGTGAGTTGAAGGCACACATCACAAACTAGTTTCTGCGAATGACTCTGTGTACTTTTAATACGAAGATATTTCCATGTCTAAGATTGGCATGAATTCGCTTGAAATCTCCACTTCCAAATTCCACAAAAAGTGTTTTTCAAAACTGCTCTGAATAAAGGAAGGTTCCACTCTGTGAGTTGAATACACACAACACAAAGGATTTACTGAGAATTCTTCTGTCTGGCAGTAAATGAGAAACCCCGCTTCTACGAAGGCCTCAAAGGGGTCTAACTAATCACTTGCAGACTTTACAGACAGAGTCTTTCCAAACTGCTCTATGAAGAGAAAGGTGAAACTCTGTGAACTGAACGCAAAGATAACAAAGCAGTTTCTGAGAATGATTCTGTGTAGTTTTTACACGAAGATATTTCCATTTCAAAGATTAGCCTCAAATCGCTTGAAATCTCCACTTGCAAATTCCACAGAAAGAGTTTTTCAAAACTGCTCTGTGTAAAGGAAGGTTCAACTCTGTGACTTGAATACACACAACACAAAGAAGTGACTGAGAATTCTTCTGTCTAGCATTATATGAAGAAATCCCGTTTCCAACGAAGGCCTCAATGAAGTCCAAAAAAGCACTTGCAGGCTTTACAAACAGAGTGTTTCCAAACTGCTCTATGAAAAGAAAGGTTAAACTCTGTGAGTTGAACGCACACATCACAAAGTAGTTGTTGAGAATGATTTTGTCTAGTTTTAATACGAAGATATATCCTTTTCTATCACTGTCTTCGAAGCGTTTGAAATCTGCACTAGCAAATTCCACAAACAGAGTGTTTCAACTCTGCTCTCTCTCAAGAAAGGTTCAACTCTGTGAGTGGAATACACACAACACAAAGAAGTTACTGAGAATTCTTCTGTCTAGCGTTATATGAAGAAATCCCGTTTCCAACGAAGGCCTCAAAGACGTCCAAATATCCACTTGCAGACTTTACAAATAGAGTGTTTCCAAACTGCTCTATGAAAAGAAAGGTTAAACTCTGTGAGTTGAAGGCACACATCACAAACTAGTTTCTGCGAATGACTCTGTGTACTTTTAATACGAAGATATTTCCATGTCTAAGATTGGCGTGAATTCGCTTGAAATCTCCACTTGCAAATTCCACAAAAAGAGTGTTTCAAAACTGCTCTGAATAAAGGAAGGTTCCACTCTGTGAGTTGAATACACACAACACAAAGGATTTAATGAGAATTCTTCTGTCTAGCAGTAAATGAAAAAATCCCGCTTCCAACGAAGTCCTCAAAGGGGTCCAAGTAATCAATTGCAGACTTTACAGACAGAGTCTTTCCAAACTGCTCTATGAAAAGAAAGGTGGAACTCTGTGAGCTGAACGCACTCATAACAAAGAAGTTTCTGAGAATGATTCTGTGTAGTTTTTACACGAAGATATTTCCATTTCAAAGATTAGCCTCAAATCGCTTGAAATCTCCACTTGCAAATTACACAGAAAGAATTTTTCAAAACTGCTCTGTCTAAAGGAAGGTTCAACTCTGTGACTTGAATACACACAACACAAAGAAGTGACTGAGAATTCTTCTGTCTAGCATTATATGAAGAAATCCCGTTTCCAACGAAGGCCTCAATGAAGTCCAAAAAAGCACTTGCAGGCTTTACAAACAGAGTGTTTCCAAACTGCTCTATGAAAAGAAAGGTTAAACTCTGTGAGTTGAACGCACACATCACAAAGTAGTTGTTGAGAATGATTTTTGTCTAGTTTTAATACGAAGATATATCCTTTTCTATCACTGTCTTCGAAGCGTTTGAAATCTGCACTAGCAAATTCCACAGAAAGAGTGTTTCAACTCTGCTCTCTCTCAAGAAAGGTTCAACTCTGTGAGTTGAATACACACAACACAAAGAAGTTACTGAGAATTCTTCTGTCTAGCGTTATATGAAGAAATCCCGTTTCCAAAGAAGGCCTCAAAGAGGTCCAATTATCCACTTGCAGACTTTACAAATAGAGTGTTTCCAAACTGCTCTATGAAAAGAAAGGTTAAACTCCGTGAGTTGAAGGCACACATCACAAACTAGTTTCTGCGAATGACTCTGTGTACTTTTAATATGAAGATATTTCCATGTCTAAGATTGGCGTCAAATCGCTTGAAATCTCCACTTGCAAATTCCACAAAAAGTGTTTTTCAAAACTGCTCTGAATAAAGGAAGGTTCCACTCTGTGAGTTGAATACACACAACACAAAGGATTTACTGAGAATTCTTCTGTCTAGCATTATATGAAGAAATCCCCTTTCCAACGAAGGCCTCAATGAAGTCCAAAAAGCAATTGCAGGCTTTACAAACAGAGTGTTTCCAAACTGCTCTATGAAAAGAAAGGTTAAACTTTGTGAGTTGAACGCACACATCACAAAGTAGTTGTTGAGAATGATTCTGTGTAGTTTTTACACGAAGATATTTCCATTTCAAAGATTAGCCTCAAATCGCTTGAAATCTCCACTTGCAAACTCCACAGAAACAATTTTTCAAAACTGCTCTGTCTAAAGGAAGGTTCAACTCTGTGACTTGAATACACACAACACAAAGAAGTGACTGAGAATTCTTCTGTCTAGCATTACATGAAGAAATCCCGTTTCCAACGAAGGCCTCAATGAAGTCCAAAAAAGCACTTGCAGGCTTTACAAACAGAGTGTTTCCAAACTGCTCTATGAAAAGAAAGTTTAAACTCTGTGAGTTGAACGCACACATCACAAAGTAGTTGTTGAGAATGATTCTGTGTAGTTTTTATACGAAGATATTTAATTTTCTGCCATAGGCCTAGAAGCGCTTGCAATCTGCACTTGCAAATTCCAAAAACAGAGTGTTTCAAATCTGCTCTCTCCAAAGGAAGGTTCAAATCTGTGAGTTGAATACAAACAACACAAAGAAGTTACTGAGAATTCTTCTGTCTAGCGTTGTATGAAGAAATCCCGTTTCCAACGAAGGCCTCAAAGAGGTCCAAATATCCACTTGCAGACTTTACAAATAGAGTGTTTCCAAACTGCTCTATGAAAAGAAAGGTTAAACTCTGTGAGTTGAAGGCACACATCACAAACTAGTTTCTACGAATGACTCTGTGTACTTTTAATATGAAGATATTTCCATGTCTAAGATTGGCGTCAAATCGCTTGAAATCTCCACTTGCAAATTCCACAAAAAGTGTTTTTCAAAACTGCTCTGAATAAAGGAAGGTTCCACTCTGTGAGTTGAATACACACAACACAAAGGATTTACTGAGAATTCTTCTGTCTAGCAGTAAATGAAAAAATCCCGCTTCCAACGAAGTCCTCAAAGGGGTCCAAGTAATCACTTGCAGACTTTACAGACAGAGTCTTTCCAAACTGCTCTATGAAAAGAAAGGTGGAACTCTGTGAGCTGAACGCACACATAACAAAGAAGTTTCTGAGAATGATTCTGTGTAGTTTTTACACGAAGATATTTGCATTTCAAAGATTAGCCTCAAATCGCTTGAAATCTCCACTTGCAAATTCCACAGAAAGAGGTTTTCAAAACTGCTCTGTGTAAAGGAAGGTTCAACTCTGTGACTTGAATACACACAACACAAAGAAGTGACTGAGAATTCTTCTGTCTAGCGTTGTATGAAGAAATCCCGTTTCCAACGAAGGCCTCAATGAACTCCAAAAAAGCACTTGCAGGCTTTACAAACAGAGTGTTTCCAAACTGCTCTATGAAAAGAAAGGTTAAACTCTGTGAGTTGAACGCACACATCACAAAGTAGTTGTTGAGAATGATTCTGTGTAGTTTTTATACGAAGATATTTCCTTTTCTGCCATAGGCCTAGAAGCGCTTGTAATCTGCACTTGCAAATTCCAAAACCAGAGTGTTTCAAATCTGCTCTCTCTAAAGGAAGGTTCAAATCTGTGAGTTGAATACAAACAACACAAAGAAGTTACTGAGAATTCTTCTGTCTAGTGTTGTATGAAGAAATCCCATTTCCAACGAAGGCCTCAAAGAGGTCCAAATATCCACTTGCAGACTTTACAAATAGAGTGTTTCCCAACTGCTCTATGAAAAGAAAGGTTAAACTCTGTGAGTTGAAGGCACACATCACAAACTAGTTTCTACGAATGACTTCTGTGTACTTTTAATACGAAGATGTTTCCATGTCTAAGATTGGCGTGAATTCGCTTGAAATCTCCACTTGCAAATTCCACAAAAAGAGTGTTTCAAAACTGCTCTGAATAAAGGAAGGTTCCACTCTGTGAGTTGAATACACACAACACAAAGGATTTACTGAGAATTCTTCTGTCTACCAGTAAATGAAAAAATCCCGCTTCCAACGAAGTCCTCAAAGGGGTCCAAGTAATCACTTGCAGACTTTACAGACAGAGTCTTTCCAAACTGCTCTATGAAAAGAAAGGTGGAACTCTGTGAGCTGAACGCACACATAACAAAGCAGTTTCTGAGAATGATTCTGTGTAGTTTTTACACGAAGATATTTCCATTTCAAAGATTAGCCTCAAATCGCTTGAAATCTCCACTTGCAAATTCCACAGAAAGAGTTTTTCAAAACTGCTCTGTGTAAAGGAAGGTTCAACTCTGTTACTTGAATACACACAACACAAAGAAGTGACTGAGAATTCTTCTGTCTAGCATTATACGAAGAAATCCCGTTTCCAACGAAGGCCTCAAAGAAGTCCAAATAAGCACCTGCAGACTTTACAAACAGAGTGTTTCCAAACTGCTCTATGAAAAGAAAGGTTAAACTCTGTGAGTTGAACGCACACATCACAAAGTAGTTGTTGAGAATGATTCTGTGTAGTTTTTATACGAAGATATTTCCTTTTCTGCCATAGGCCTAGAAGCGCTTGTAATCTGCACTTGCAAATTCCAAAACGAGAGTGTTTCAAATCTGCTCTCTCTAAAGGAAGGTTCAAATCTGTGAGTTGAATACAAACAACACAAAGAAGTTACTGAGAATTCTTCTGTCTAGCGTTATATGAAGAAATCCCGTTTCCAACGAAGGCCTCAAAGAGGTCCAAATATCCACTTGCAGACTTTACAAATAGAGTGTTTCCCAACTGCTCTATGAAAAGAAAGGTTAAACTCTGTGAGTTGAAGGCACACATCACAAACTAGTTTCTACGAATGACTCTGTGTACTTTTAATACGAAGATGTTTCCATGTCTAAGATTGGCGTGAATTCGCTTGAAATCTCCACTTGCAAATTCCACAAAAAGAGTGTTTCAAAACTGCTCTGAATAAAGGAAGGTTCCACTCTGTGAGTTGAATACACACAACACAAAGGATTTACTGAGAATTCTTCTGTCTAGCAGTAAATGAGAAATCCCGCTTCCAACGAAGGCCTCAAAGGGGTCTAACTAATCACTTGCAGACTTTACAGACAGAGTCTTTCCAAACTGCTCTATGAAGAGAAAGGTGAAACTCTGTGAACTGAACGCACAAGATGACAAAGCAGTTTCTGAGAATGATTCTGTGTAGTTTTTACACGAAGATATTTCCATTTCAAAGATTAGCCTCAAATCGCTTGAAATCTCCACTTGCAAACTCCACAGAAAGAATTTTTCAAAACTGCTCTGTCTAAAGGAAGGTTCAACTCTGTGACTTGAATACACACAACACAAAGAAGTGACTGAGAATTCTTCTGTCTAGCATTATATGAAGAAATCCCGTTTCCAACGAAGGCCTCAATGAAGTGCAAAAAAGCACTTGCAGGCTTTACAAACAGAGTGTTTCCAAACTGCTCTATGAAAAGAAAGGTTAAACTCTGTGAGTTGAACGCACACATCACAAAGTAGTTGTTGAGAATGATTCTGTGTAGTTTTTATACGAAGATATTTCCTTTTCTGCCATAGGCCTAGAAGCGCTTGAAATCTGCACTTGCAAATTCCAAAAACAGAGTGTTTCAAATCTGCTCTCTCTAAAGGAAGGTTCAAATCTGTGTGTTGAATACAAACAACACAAAGAAGTTACTGAGAATTCTTCTGTCTAGCGTTACATGAAGAAATCCCGTTTCCAACGAAGGCCTCAAAGAGGTCCAAATATCCACTTGCAGACTTTACAAATAGAGTGTTTCCAAAATGCTCTATGAAAAGAAAGGTTAAACTCTGTGAGTTGAAGGCACACATCACAAACTAGTTTCTGCGAATGACTCTGTGTACTTTTAATATGAAGATATTTCCATGTCTAAGATTGGCGTCAAATCGCTTGAAATCTCCACTTGCAAATTCCACAAAAAGTGTTTTTCAAAACTGCTCTGAATAAAGGAAGGTTCCACTCTGTGAGTTGAATACACACAACACAAAGGATTTACTGAGAATTCTTCTGTCTAGCAGTAAATGAGAAATCCCGCTTCCAACGAAGGCCTCAAAGGGGTCTAACTAATCACTTGCAGACTTTACAGACAGAGTCTTTCCAAACTGCTCTATGAAGAGAAAGGTGAAACTCTGTGAACTGAACGCACAGATGACAAAGCAGTTTCTGAGAATGATTCTGTGTAGTTTTTACACGAAGATATTTCCATTTCAAAGATTAGCCTCAAATCGCTTGAAATCTCCACATGCAAATTCCACAGAAAGAATTTTTCAAAACTGCTCTGTCTAAAGGAAGGTTCAACTCTGTGACTTGAATACACACAACACAAAGAAGTGACTGAGAATTCTTCTGTCTAGCGTTGTATGAAGAAATCCCGTTTCCAACGAAGGCCTCAATGAAGTCCAAAAAAGCACTTGCAGGCTTTACAAACAGAGTGTTTCCAAACTGCTCTATGAAAAGAAAGGTTAAACTCTGTGAGTTGAACACACACATCACAAAGAGTTTTCTGAGAATGATTCTGTGTAGTTTTTATACGAAGATATTTCCTTTTCTGCCATAGGCCTAGAAGCGCTTGCAATCTGCACTTGCAAATTCCAAAAACAGAGTGTTTCAAATCTGCTCTCTCCAAAGGAAGGTTCAAATCTGTGAGTTGAATACAAACAACACAAAGAAGTTACTGAGAATTCTTCTGTCTAGCGTTATATGAAGAAATCCCGTTTCCAACGAAGGCCTCAAAGAGGTCCAAATATCCACTTGCAGACTTTACAAATAGAGTGTTTCCAAACTGCTCTATGAAAAGAAAGGTTAAACTCCGTGAGTTGAAGGCACACATCACAAACTAGTTTCTGCGAATGACTCTGTGTACTTTTAATACGAAGATGTTTCCATGTCTAAGATTGGCGTGAATTCGCTTGAAATCTCCACTTGCAAATTCCACAAAAAGAGTGTTTCAAAACTGCTCTGAATACAGGAAGGTTCCACTCTGTGAGTTGAATACACACAACACAAAGGATTTACTGAGAATTCTTCTGTCTAGCAGTAAATGAAAAAATCCCGCTTCCAACGAAGTCCTCAAAGGGGTCCAAGTAATCACTTGCAGACTTTACAGACAGAGTCTTTCCAAACTGCTCTATGAAAAGAAAGGTGGAACTCTGTGAGCTGAACGCACACATAACAAAGCAGTTTCTGAGAATGATTCTGTGTAGTTTTTACACGAAGCTATTTCCATTTCAAATATTAGCCTCAAATCGCTTGAAATCTCCACTTGCAAATTCCACAGAAAGAGTTTTTCAAAACTGCTCTGTGTAAAGGAAGGTTCAACTCTGTGACTTGAATACACACAACACAAAGAAGTGACTGAGAATTCTTCTGTCTAGCATTATATGAGGAAATCCCGTTTCCAACGAAGGGCTCATAGAGGGACAATTATCCAGCTGCAGACTTACAAAGAGTGTATTTCCAAACTGCTCGATTAAAGAAAGGTTAAACTCTGTGAGTTGAACACACACATCACAAAGTGTTTTCTGAGAATGATTTTGTCTAGTTTTGATACGAAGATATATCCTTTTCTATCACTGTCTTCGAAGCGTTTGAAATCTGCACTAGCAAATTCCACAAACAGAGTGTTTCAACTCTGCTCTCTCTCAAGAAAGGTTCAACTCTGTGAGTGGAATACACACAACACAAAGAAGTTACTGAGAATTCTTCTGTCTAGCGTTATATGAAGAAATCCCGTTTCCAACGAAGGCCTCAAAGAGGTCCAAATATCCACTTGCAGACTTTAGAAATAGAGTGTTTCCAAACTGCTCTATGAAAAGAAAGGTTAAACTCTGTGAGTTGAAGGCACACATCACAAACTAGTTTCTGCGAATGACTCTGTGTACTTTTAATACGAAGATGTTTCCGTGTCTAAGATTGGCGTGAATTCGCTTGAAATCTCCACTTGCAAATTCCACAAAAAGAGTGTTTCAAAACTGCTCTGAATAAAGGAAGGTTCCACTCTGTGAGTTGAATACACACAACACAAAGGATTTACTGAGAATTCTTCTGTCTAGCAGTAAATGAAAAAATCCCGCTTCCAACGAAGTCCTCAAAGGGGACCAAGTAATCACTTGCAGACTTTACAGACAGAGTCTTTCCAAACTGCTCTATGAAAAGAAAGGTGGAACTCTGTGAGCTGAACGCACACATAACAAAGCAGTTTCTGAGAATGATTCTGTGTAGTTTTTACACGAAGATATTTCCATTTCAAAGATTAGCCTCAAATCGCTTGAAATCTCCACTTGCAAATTCCACAGAAAGAGTTTTTCAAAACTGCTCTGTGTAAAGGAAGGTTCAACTCTGTGACTTGAATACACACAACACAAAGAAGTGACTGAGAATTCTTCTGTCTAGCATTATATGAGGAAATCCCGTTTCCAACGAAGGGCTCATAGAGGGACAATTATCCAGCTGCAGACTTACAAAGAGTGTATTTCCAAACTGCTCGATTAAAGAAAGGTTAAACTCTGTGAGTTGAACACACACATCACAAAGTGTTTTCTGAGAATGATTTTGTCTAGTTTTAATACGAAGATATATCCTTTTCTATCACTGTCTTCGAAGCGTTTGAAATCTGCACTAGCAAATTCCACAAACAGAGTGTTTCAACTCTGCTCTCTCTCAAGAAAGGTTCAACTCTGTGAGTTGAATACACACAACACAAAGAAGTTACTGAGAATTCTTCTGTCTAGCATTATATGAGGAAATCCCGTTTCCAACGAAGGGCTCATAGAGGGACAATTATCCAGCTGCAGACTTACAAAGAGTGTATTTCCAAACTGCTCGATTAAAGAAAGGTTAAACTCTGTGAGTTGAACACACACATCACAAAGTGTTTTCTGAGAATGACTCTGTGTACTTTTAATACGAAGATGTTTCCATGTCTAAGATTGGCGTGAATTCGCTTGAAATCTCCACTTGCAAATTCCACAAAAAGAGTGTTTCAAAAGTGCTCTGAATAAAGGAAGGTTCCACTCTGTGAGTTGAATACACACAACACAAAGGATTTACTGAGAATTCTTCTGTCTAGCAGTAAATGAAAAAATCCCGCTTCCAACGAAGTCCTCAAAGGGGTCCAAGTAATCACTTGCAGACTTTACAGACAGAGTCTTTCCAAACTGCTCTATGAAAAGAAAGGTGGAACTCTGTGAGCTGAACGCACACATAACAAAGCAGTTTCTGAGAATGATTCTGTGTAGTTTTTACACGAAGCTATTTCCATTTCAAAGATTAGCCTCAAATCGCTTGAAATCTCCACTTGCAAATTCCACAGAAAGAGTTTTTCAAAACTGCTCTGTGTAAAGGAAGGTTCAACTCTGTGACTTGAATACACACAACACAAAGAAGTGACTGAGAATTCTTCTGTCTAGCATTATATGAAGAAATCCCGTTTCCAACGAAGGCCTCAAAGAAGTCCAAATAAGCACCTGCAGACTTTACAAACAGAGTGTTTCCAAACTGCTCTATGAAAAGAAAGGTTAAACTCTGTGAGTTGAACGCACACATCACAAAGTAGTTGTTGAGAATGATTCTGTGTAGTTTTTATACGAAGATATTTCCTTTTCTGCCATAGGCCTAGAATCGCTTGAAATCTGCACTTGCAAATTCCAAAAACAGAGTGTTTCAACTCTGCTCTCTCTAAAGAAAGGTTCAACTCTGTGAGTTGAATACACACAACACAAAGAAGTTACTGAGAATTCTTCTGTCTAGCGTTATATGAAGAAATCCCGTTTCCAACGAAGGCCTCAAAGAGGTGCAAATATCCACTTGCAGACTTAACAAATAGAGTGTTTCCAAACTGCTCTATGAAAAGAAAGGTTAAACTCTGTGAGTTGAAGGCACACATCACAAACTAGTTTCTGCGAATGACTCTGTGTACTTTTAATATGAAGATATTTCCATGTCTAAGATTGGCGTCAAATCGCTTGAAATCTCCACTTGCAAATTCCACAAAAAGTGTTTTTCAAAACTGCTCTGAATAAAGGAAGGTTCCACTCTGTGAGTTGAATACACACAACACAAAGGATTTACTGAGAATTCTTCTGTCTAGCAGTAAATGAGAAATCCCGCTTCCAACGAAGGCCTCAAAGGGGTCTAACTAATCACTTGCAGACTTTACAGACAGAGTCTTTCCAAACTGCTCTATGAAGAGAAAGGTGAAACTGTGTGAACTGAACGCACAGATGACAAAGCAGTTTCTGAGAATGATTTCTGTGTAGTTTTTACACGAAGATATTTCCATTTCAAAGATTAGCCTCAAATCGCTTGAAATCTCCACTTGCAAATTCCACAGAAAGAGTTTTTCAAAACTGCTCTGTGTAAAGGAAGGTTCAACTCTGTGACTTGAATACACACAACACAAAGAAGTGACTGAGAATCTCTCTGTCTAGCATTATATGAGGAAATCCCGTTTCCAACGAAGGGCTCATAGAGGGACAATTATCCACCTGCAGACTTACAAAGAGTGTATTTCCAAACTGCTCGATTAAAGAAAGGTTAAACTCTGTGAGTTGAACACACACATCACAAAGTGTTTTCTGAGAATGATTTTGTCTAGTTTTAATACGAAGATATATCCTTTTCTATCACTGTCTTCGAAGCGTTTGAAATCTGCACTAGCAAATTCCACAAAAAGAGTGTTTCCACTCTGCTCTCTCTCAAGAAAGGTTCAACTGTGTGAGTTGAATACACACAACACAAAGAAGTTACTGAGAATTCTTCTGTCTAGCGTTATATGAAGAAATCCCGTTTCCAACGAAGGCCTCAAAGAGGTCCAAATATCCACTTGCAGACTTTACAAATAGAGTGTTTCCAAACTGCTCTATGAAAAGAAAGGTTAAACTCCGTGAGTTGAAGGCACACATCACAAACTAGTTTCTGCGAATGACTCTGTGTACTTTTAATATGAAGATATTTCCATGTCTAAGATTGGCGTCAAATCGCTTGAAATCTCCACTTGCAAATTCCACAAAAAGAGTGTTTCAAAACTGCTCTGAATAAAGGAAGGTTCCACTCTGTGAGTTGAATAAACACAACACAAAGGATTTACTGAGAATTCTTCTGTCTAGCAGTTAATGAGAAATCCCGCTTCCAACGAAGGCCTCAAAGGGGTCTAACTAATCAATTGCAGACTTTACAGACAGAGTCTTTCCAAACTGCTCTATGAAGAGAAAGGTGAAACTCTGTGAACTGAACGCACAGATGACAAAGCAGTTTCTGAGAATGATTCTGTGTAGTTTTTACACGAAGATATTTCCATTTCAAAGATTAGCCTCAAATCGCTTGAAATCTCCACTTGCAAATTCCACAGAAAGAATTTTTCAAAACTGCTCTGTCTAAAGGAAGGTTCAACTCTGTGACTTGAATACACACAACACAAAGAAGTGACTGAGAATTCTTCTGTCTAGCATTATATGAAGAAATCCCGTTTCCAACGAAGGCCTCAATGAAGTCCAAAAAAGCACTTGCAGGCTTTACAAACAGAGTGTTTCCAAACTGCTCTATGAAAAGAAAGGTTAAACTCTGTTAGTTGAACGCACACATCACAAAGTAGTTGTTGAGAATGATTTTGTCTAGTTTTAATACGAAGATATACCCTTTTCTATCACTGTCTTCGAAGCGTTTGAAATCTGCACTAGCAAATTCCACAAAAAGAGTGTTTCCACTCTGCTCTCTCTCAAGAAAGGTTCAACTCTGTGAGTGGAATACACACAACACAAAGAAGTTACTGAGAATTCTTCTGTCTAGCGTTATATGAAGAAATCCCGTTTCCAACGAAGGTCTCAAAGAGGTCCAAATATCTACTTGCAGACTTTAGAAATAGAGTGTTCCTAAACTGCTCTATGAAAAGAAAGGTTAAACTCTGTGAGTTGAAGGCACACTTCACAAACTAGTTTCTAAGAATGACTCTGTGTACTTTTAATATGAAGATATTTCCATGTCTAAGATTGGCGTCAAATCGCTTGAAATCTCCACTTGCAAATTCCACAAAAAGAGTGTTTCAAAACTGCTCTGAATAAAGGAAGGTTCCACTCTGTGAGTTGAATACACACAACACAAAGGATTTACTGAGAATTCTTCTGTCTAGCAGTAAATGAGAAATCCCGCTTCCAACGAAGGCCTCAAAGGGGTCTAACTAATCACTTGCAGACTTTACAGACAGAGTCTTTCCAAACTGCTCTATGAAGAGAAAGGTGAAACTCTGTGAACTGAACGCACAGATGACAAAGCAGTTTCTGAGAATGATTCTGTGTAGTTTTTACACGAAGATATTTCCATTTCAAAGAATTAGCCTCAAATCGCTTGAAATCTCCACTTGCAAATTCCACAGAAAGAATTTTTCAAAACTGCTCTGTCTAAAGGAAGGTTCAACTCTGTGACTTGAATACACACAACACAAAGAAGTGACTGAGAATTCTTCTGTCTAGCATTATATGAAGAAATCCCGTTTCCAACGAAGGCCTCAATGAAGTCCAAAAAAGCACTTGCAGGCTTTACAAACAGAGTGTTTCCAAACTGCTCTATGAAAAGAAAGGTTAAACTCTGTGAGTTGAACGCACACATCACAAAGTAGTTGTTGAGAATGATTCTGTGTAGTTTTTATACGAAGATATTTCCTTTTCTGCCATAGGCCTAGAAGCGCTTGTAATCTGCACTTGCAAATTCCAAAAACAGAGTGTTTCAAATCTGCTCTCTCTAAAGGAAGGTTCAAATCTGTGAGTTGAATACAAACAACACAAAGAAGTTACTGAGAATTCTTCTGTCTAGCGTTATATGAAGAAATCCCGTTTCCAACGAAGGCCTCAAAGAGGTCCAAATATCCACTTGCAGACTTTACAAATAGAGTGTTTCCAAACTGCTCTATGAAAAGAAAGGTTAAACTCCGTGAGTTGAAGGCACACATCACAAACTAGTTTCTGCGAATGACTCTGTGTACTTTTAATACGAAGATGTTTCCATGTCTAAGATTGGCGTGAATTCGCTTGAAATCTCCACTTGCAAATTCCACAAAAAGAGTGTTTCAAAACTGCTCTGAATAAAGGAAGGTTCCACTCTGTGAGTTGAATACACACAACACAAAGGATTTACTGAGAATTCTTCTGTCTAGCAGTAAATGAAAAAATCCCGCTTCCAACGAAGTCCTCAAAGGGGTCCAAGTAATCATTTGCAGACTTTACAGACGGAGTCTTTCCAAACTGCTCTATGAAAAGAAAGGTGGAACTCTGTGAGCTGAACGCACACATAACAAAGCAGTTTCTGAGAATGATTCTGTGTAGTTTTTACACGAAGATATTTCCATTTCAAAGATTAGCCTCAAATCGCTTGAAATCTCCACTTGCAAATTCCACAGAAAGAGTTTTTCAAAACTGCTCTGTGTAAAGGAAGGTTCAACTCTGTGACTTGAATACACACAACACAAAGAAGTGACTGAGAATTCTTCTGTCTAGCATTATAAGAGGAAATCCCGTTTCCAACGAAGGGCTCATAGAGGGACAATTATCCAGCTGCAGACTTACAAAGAGTGTATTTCCAAACTGCTCGATTAAAGAAAGGTTAAACTCTGTGAGTTGAACACACACATCACAAAGTGTTTTCTGAGAATGATTCTGTGTAGTTTTTATACGAAGATATTTCCTTTTCTGCCATAGGCCTAGAAGCGCTTGTAATCTGCACTTGCAAATTCCAAAAACAGAGTGTTTCAAATCTGCTCTCTCTAAAGGAAGGTTCAAATCTGTGAGTTGAATACAAACAACACAAAGAAGTTACTGAGAATTCTTCTGTCTAGCGTTATATGAAGAAATCCCGTTTCCAACGAAGGCCTCAAAGAGGTCCAAATATCCACTTGCAGACTTTACAGATAGAGTGTTTCCAAACTGCTCTATGAAAAGAAAGGTTAAACTCCGTGAGTTGAAGGCACACATCACAAACTAGTTTCTGCGAATGACTCTGTGTACTTTTAATATGAAGATATTTCCATGTCTAAGATTGGCGTCAAATCGCTTGAAATCTCCACTTGCAAATTCCACAAAAAGAGTGTTTCAAAACTGCTCTGAATAAAGGAAGGTTCCACTCTGTGAGTTGAATAAACGCAACACAAATGATTTACTGAGAATTCTTCTGTCTAGCAGTAAATGAAAAAATCCCGCTTCCAACGAAGTTCTCAAAGGGGTCCAAGTAATCACTTGCAGACTTTACAGACAGAGTCTTTCCAAACTGCTCTATGAAAAGAAAGGTGGAACTCTGTGAGCTGAACGCACACATAACAAAGCAGTTTCTGAGAATGATTCTGTGTAGTTTTTACACGAAGCTATTTCCATTTCAAAGATTAGCCTCAAATCGCTTGAAATCTCCACTTGCAAATTCCACAGAAAGAGTTTTTCAAAACTGCTCTGTGTAAAGGAAGGTTCAACTCTGTGACTTGAATACACACAACACAAAGAAGTGACTGAGAATTCTTCTGTCTAGCATTATAAGAGGAAATCCCGTTTCCAACGAAGGGCTCATAGAGGGACAATTATCCAGCTGCAGACTTACAAAGAGTGTATTTCCAAACTGCTCGATTAAAGAAAGGTTAAACTACTGTGAGTTGAACACACACATCACAAAGTGTTTTCTGAGAATGATTTTGTCTAGTTTTAATACGAAGATATATCCTTTTCTATCACTGTCTTCGAAGCGTTTGAAATCTGCACTAGCAAATTCCACAAACAGAGTGTTTCAACTCTGCTCTCTCTCAAGGAAGCTTCAACTCTGTGAGTGGAATACACACAACACAAAGAAGTTACTGAGAATTCTTCTGTCTAGCGTTATATGAAAAAATCCCGTTTCCAACGAAGGCCTCAAAGAGGTCCAAATATCCACTTGCAGACTTTACAAATAGAGTGTTTCCAAACTGCTCTATGAAAAGAAAGGTTAAACTCCGTGAGTTGAAGGCACACATCATAAACTAGTTTACTGCGAATGACTCTGTGTACTTTTAATATGAAGATATTTCCATGTCTAAGATTGGCGTCAAATCGCTTGAAATCTCCACTTGCAAATTCCACAAAAAGTGTTTTTCAAAACTGCTCTGAATAAAGGAAGGTTCCACTCTGTGAGTTGAATACACACAACACAAAGGATTTACTGAGAATTCTTCTGTCTAGCAGTAAATGAAAAAATCCCGCTTCCAACGAAGTCCTCAAAGGGGTCCAAGTAATCACTTGCAGACTTTACAGACAGAGTCTTTCCAAACTGCTCTATGAAAAGAAAGGTGGAACTCTGTGAGCTGAACGCACACATAACAAAGCAGTTTCTGAGAATGATTCTGTGTAGTTTTTACACGAAGATATTTCCATTTCAAAGATAAGCCTCAAATCGCTTGAAATCTCCACTTGCAAATTCCACAGAAAGAGTTTTTCAAAACTGCTCTGTGTAAAGGAAGGTTCAACTCTGTGACTTGAATACACACAACACAAAGAAGTGACTGAGAATTCTTCTGTCTAGCATTATATGAGGAAATCCCGTTTCCAACGAAGGGCTCATAGAGGGACAATTATCCAGCTGCAGACTTACAAAGAGTGTATTTCCAAACTGCTCGATTAAAGAAAGGTTAAACTCTGTGAGTTGAACACACACATCACAAAGTGTTTTCTGAGAATGATTCTGTGTAGTTTTTATACGAAGATATTTCCTTTTCTGCCATAGGCCTAGAAGCGCTTGCAATCTGCACTTGCAAATTCCAAAAACAGAGTGTTTCAAATCTGCTCTCTCCAAAGGAAGGTTCAAATCTGTGAGTTGAATACAAACAACACAAAGAAGTTACTGAGAATTCTTCTGTCTAGCGTTGTATGAAGAAATCCCGTTTCCAACGAAGGCCTCAAAGAGGTCCAAATATCCACTTGCAGACTTTACAAATAGAGTGTTTCCAAACTGCTCTATGAAAAGAAAGGTTAAACTCTGTGAGTTGAAGGCACACATCACAAACTAGTTTCTACGAATGACTCTGTGTACTTTTAATACGAAGATGTTTCCATGTCTAAGATTGGCGTGAATTCGCTTGAAATCTCCACTTGCAAATTCCACAAAAAGAGTGTTTCAAAACTGCTCTGAATAAAGGAAGGTTCCACTCTGTGAGTTGAATACACACAACACAAAGGATTTACTGAGAATTCTTCTGTCTAGCAGTAAATGAGAAATCCCGCTTCCAACGAAGGCCTCAAAGGGGTCTAACTAATCACTTGCAGACTTTACAGACAGAGTCTTTCCAAACTGCTCTATGAAGAGAAAGGTGAAACTCTGTGAACTGAACGCACAGATGACAAAGCAGTTTCTGAGAATGATTCTGTGTAGTTTTTACACGAAGCTATTTCCATTTCAAAGATTAGCCTCAAATCGCTTGAAATCTCCACTTGCAAATTCCACAGAAAGAGTTTTTCAAAACTGCTCTGTGTAAAGGAAGGTTCAACTCTGTGACTTGAATACACACAACACAAAGAAGTGACTGAGAATTCTTCTGTCTAGCATTATATGAAGAAATCCCGTTTCCAACGAAGGCCTCAATGAAGTCCAAAAAGGCACTTGCAGGCTTTACAAACAGAGTGTTTCCAAACTGCTCTATGAAAAGAAAGGTTAAACTCTGTGAGTTGAACGCACACATCACAAAGTAGTTGTTGAGAATGATTCTGTGTAGTTTTTATACGAAGATATTTCCTTTTCTGCCATAGGCCTAGAATCGCTTGAAATCTGCAGTTGCAAATTCCAAAAACAGAGTGTTTCAACTCTGCTCTCTCTAAAGAAAGGTTCAACTCTGTGAGTTAAATACACACAACACAAAGAAGTTACTGAGAATTCTTCTGTCTAGCATTATAAGAGGAAATCCTGTTTCCAACGAAGGGCTCATAGAGGGACAATTATCCAGCTGCAGACTTACAAAGAGTGTATTTCCAAACTGCTCGATTAAAGAAAGGTTAAACTCTGTGAGTTGAACACACACATCACAAAGTGTTTTCTGACAATGATTTTGTCTAGTTTTAATACAAAGATATATCCTTTTCTATCACTGTCTTCGAAGCGTTTGAAATCTGCACTAGCAAATTCCACAAACAGAGTGTTTCAACTCTGCTCTCTCTCAAGAAAGGTTCAACTCTGTGAGTGGAATACACACAACACAAAGAAGTTACTGAGAATTCTTCTGTCTAGCAGTAAATGAAAAAATCCCGCTTCCAACGAAGTCCTCCAAGGGGTCCAAGTAATCACTTGCAGACTTCACAGACAGAGTCTTTCCAAACTGCCCTATGAAAAGAAAGGTGGAACTCTGTGAGCTGAACGCACACATAACAAAGCAGTTTCTGAGAATGATTCTGTGTAGTTTTTACACGAAGATATTTCCATTTCAAAGATTAGCCTGAAATCGCTTGAAATCTCCACTTGCAAATTCCACAGAAAGAGTTCTTCAAAACTGCTCTGTGTAAAGGAAGGTTCAACTCTGTGACTTGAATACACACAACACAAAGACGTGACTGAGAATTCTTCTGTCTAGCATTATATGAAGAAATCCCGTTTCCAACGAAGGCCTCAAAGAAGTCCAAATAAGCGCCTGCAGACTTTACAAACAGAGTGTTTCCAAACTGCTCTATGAAAAGAAAAGTTAAACTCTGTGAGTTGAACGCACACATCACAAAGTAGTTGTTGAGAATGATTCTGTGTAGTTTTTACACGAAGATATTTCCTTTTCTGCCATAGGCCTAGAAGTGCTTGAAATCGGCACTTACAAATTCCAAAAACAGAGTGTTTCAAATCTGCTCTCTCTAAAGGAAGGTTCAAATCTGTGAGTTGAATACAAACAATACAAGGAACTTACTGAGAATTCTTCTGTCTAGCATTATATGAGGAAATCCCGTTTCCAACGAAGGGCTCAAAGAGGGCCAAATATCCACCTGCAGACTTACAAAGAGTGTATTTCCAAACTGCTCGATTAAAGAAAGGTTAAACTCTGTGAGTTGAACACACACATCACAACGAGTTTTCTGAGAATGATTCTGTGTACTTTTAATACGAAGATGTTTCCATGTCTAAGATTGGCGTGAATTCGCTTGAAATCTCCACTTGCAAATTCCACAAAAAGAGTGTTTCAAAACTGCTCTGAATAAAGGAAGGTTCCACTCTGTGAGTTGAATACACACAACACAAAGGATTTACTGAGAATTCTTCTGTCTAGCAGTAAATGAGAAATCCCGCTTCCAACGAAGGCCTCAAAGGGGTCTAACTAATCACTTGCAGACTTTACAGACAGAGTCTTTCCAAACTGCTCTATGAAGAGAAAGGTGAAACTCTGTGAACTGAACGCACAGATGACAAAGCAGTTTCTGAGAATGATTCTGTGTAGTTTTTACACGAAGATATTTCCATTTCAAAGATTAGCCTCAAATCGCTTGAAATCTCCACTTGCAAACTCCACAGAAAGAATTTTTCAAAACTGCTCTGTCTAAAGGAAGGTTCAACTCTGTGACTTGAATACACACAACACAAAGAAGTGACTGAGAATTCTTCTGTCTAGCATTATATGAAGAAATCCCGTTTCCAACGAAGGCCTCAATGAAGTCCAAAAAAGCACTTGCAGGCTTTACAAACAGAGTGTTTCCAAACTGCTCTATGAAAAGAAAGGTTAAACTCTGTGAGTTGAACGCACACATTCACAAAGTAGTTGTTGAGAATGATTCTGTGTAGTTTTTATACGAAGATATTCCCTTTTCTGCCATAGGCCTAGAAGCGCTTGAAATCTGCACTTGCAAATTCCAAAAACAGAGTGTGTGCAATCTGCTCTCTCTAAAGGAAGGTTCAAATCTGTGAGTTGAATACAAACAACAGAAAGAAGTTACTGAGAATTCTTCTGTCTAGCACTATATGAGGAAATCCCGTTTCCAACGAAGGGCTCAAAGAGGGCCAATTATCCACTTGCAGACTTACAAAGAGGGTATTTCCAAACTGCTCAATTAAGGAAAGGTTAAACTCTGTGAGTTGAACACACAGATCACAAAGTGTTTTCTGAGAATGATTTTGTCTAGTTTTAATACGAAAGATATATCCTTTTCTATCACTGTCTTCGAAGCGTTTGAAATCTGCACTAGCAAATTCCACAAACAGAGTGTTTCAACTCTGCTCTCTCTCAAGAAAGGTTCAACTCTGTGAGTTGAATACACACAACACAAAGAAGTTACTGAGAATTCTTCTGTCTAGCGTTATATGAAGAAATCCCGTTTCCAACGAAGGTCGCAAAGAAGTCCAAATATCCACTTCCAGACTTTACAAATAGAGTGTTTCCAAACTGCTCTATGAAAAGAAAGGTTAAACTCTGTGAGTTGAAGGCACACATCACAAACCAGTTTCTGCGAATGACTCTGTGTACTTTTAATACGAAGATGTTTCCATGTCTAAGATTGGCGTGAATTCGCTTGAAATCTCCACTTGCAAATTCCACAAAAAGAGTTTTTCAAAAGTGCTCTGAATAAAGGAAGGTTGCACTCTGTGAGTTGAATACACACAACACAAAGGATTTACTGAGAATTCTTCTGTCTAGCAGTAAATGAAAAAATCCCGCTTCCAACGAAGTCCTCAAAGGGGTCCAAGTAATCACTTGCAGACTTTACAGACAGAGTCTTTCCAAACTGCTCTATGAAAAGAAAGGTGGAACTCTGTGAGCTGAACGCACACATAACAAAGCAGTTTCTGAGAATGATTCTGTGTAGTTTTTACACGAAGCTATTTCCATTTCAAAGATTAGCCTCAAATCGCTTGAAATCTCCACTTGCAAATTCCACAGAAAGAGTTTTTCAAAACTGCTCTGTGTAAAGGAAGGTTCAACTCTGTGACTTGAATACACACAACACAAAGAAGTGACTGAGAATTCTTCTGTCTAGCATTATATGAAGAAATCCCGTTTCCAACGAAGGCCTCAATGAAGTCCAAAAAAGCACTTGCAGGCTTTACAAACAGCGTGTTTCCAAACTGCTCTATGAAAAGAAAGGTTAAACTTTGTGAGTTGAACGCACACATCACAAAGTAGTTGTTGAGAATGATTCTGTGTAGTTTTTATACGAAGATATTTCCTTTCCTGCCATAGGCCTAGAATCGCTTGAAATCTGCACTTGCAAATTCCAAAAACAGAGTGTTTGAACTCTGCTCTCTCTAAAGAAAGGTTCAACTCTGTGAGTTGAATACACACAACACAAAGAAGTTACTGAGAATTCTTCTGTCTAGCGTTATATGAAGAAATCCCGTTTCCAACGAAGGCCTCAAAGAGGTCCAAATATCCACTTGCAGACTTTACAAATAGAGTGTTTCCAAACTGCTCTATGAAAAGAAAGGTTAAACTCTGTGAGTTGAAGGCACACATCACAAACTAGTTTCTGCGAATGACTCTGTGTACTTTTAATATGAAGATATTTCCATGTCTAAGATTGGCGTCAAATCGCTTGAAATCTCCACTTGCAAATTCCACAAAAAGTGTTTTTCAAAACTGCTCTGAATAAAGGAAGGTTCAACTCTGTGAGTTGAATACACACAACACAAAGGATTTACTGAGAATTCTTCTGTCTAGCAGTAAATGAGAAATCCCGCTTCCAACGAAGGCCTCAAAGGGGTCTAACTAATCACTTGCAGACTTTACAGACAGAGTCTTTCCAAACTGCTCTATGAAGAGAAAGGTGAAACTCTGTGAACTGAACGCACAGATGACAAAGCAGTTTCTGAGAATGATTCTGTGTAGTTTTTACACGAAGATATTTCCATTTCAAAGATTAGCCTCAAATCGCTTGAAATCTCCACTTGCAAATTCCACAGAAAGAGTTTTTCAAAACTGCTCTGTGTAAAGGAAGGTTCAACTCTGTGACTTGAATACACACAACACAAAGAAGTGACTGAGAATTCTTCTGTCTAGCATTATATGAGGAAATCCCGTTTCCAACGAAGGGCTCAAAGAGGGCCAATTATCCACCTGCAGACTTACAAAGAGTGTATTTCCAAACTGCTCGATTAAAGAAAGGTTAAACTCTGTGAGTTGAACACACACATCACAAAGTGTTTTCTGAGAATGATTTTGTCTAGTTTTAATACGAAGATATACCCTTTTCTATCACTGTCTTCGAAGCGTTTGAAATCTGCACTAGCAAATTCCACAAGAAGAGTGTTTCAACTCTGCTCTCTCTAAAGAAAGGTTCAACTCGGTGAGTTGAATACACACAACACAAAGAAGTTACTGAGAATTCTTCTGTCTAGCGTTATATGAAGATCTCCCGTTTCCAACGAAGGCCTCAAAGAGGTCCAAATATCCACTTGCAGACTTTACAAATAGAGTGTTTCCCAACTGCTCTATGAAAAGAAAGGTTAAACTCTGTGAGTTGAAGGCACACATCACAAACTAGTTTCTACGAATGACTCTGTGTACTTTTAATACGAAGATGTTTCCATGTCTAAGATTGGCGTGAATTCGCTTGAAATCTCCACTTGCAAATTCCACAAAAAGAGTGTTTCAAAACTGCTCTGAATAAAGGAAGGTTCCACTCTGTGAGTTGAATACACACAACACAAAGGATTTACTGAGAATTCTTCTGTCTAGCAGTAAATGAGAAATCCCGCTTCCAACGAAGGCCTCAAAGGGGTCTAACTAATCACTTGCAGACTTTACAGACAGAGTCTTTCCAAACTGCTCTATGAAGAGAAAGGTGAAACTCTGTGAACTGAACGCACAGATGACAAAGCAGTTTCTGAGAATGATTCTGTGTAGTTTTTACACGAAGATATTTCCATTTCAAAGATTAGCCTCAAATCGCTTGAAATCTCCACTTGCAAATTCCACAGAAAGAATTTTTCAAAACTGCTCTGTCTAAAGGAAGGTTCAACTCTGTGACTTGAATACACACAACACAAAGAAGTGACTGAGAATTCTTCTGTCTAGCATTATATGAAGAAATCCCGTTTCCAACGAAGGCCTCAATGAAGTCCAAAGAAGCACTTGCAGGCTTTACAAACAGAGTGTTTCCAAACTGCTCTATGAAAAGAAAGGTTAAACTCTGTGAGTTGAACGCACACATCACAAAGTAGTTGTTCAGAATGATTCTGTGTAGTTTTTATACGAAGATATTTCCTTTTCTGCCATAGGCCTAGAAGCGCTTGAAATCTGCACTTGCAAATTCCAAAAACAGAGTGTTTCAAATCTGCTCTCTCTAAAGGAAGGTTCAAATCTGTGTGTTGAATACAAACAACACAGAGAAGTTACTGAGAATTCTTCTGTCTAGCATTATAAGAGGAAATCCCGTTTCCAAAGAAGGGCTCAATGAGGGACAAATATCCACCTGCAGACTTACAAAGAGTGTATTTCCAAACTGCTCGATTAAAGAAAGGTTAAACTCTGTGAGTTGAACACACACATCACAAAGAGTTTTCTGAGAATGATTCTGTGTAGTTTTTACACGAAGATATTTCCATGTCTAAGATTGGCGTGAATTCGCTTGAAATCTCCACTTGCAAATTCCACAAAAAGACTGTTTCAAAACTGCTCTGAATAAAGGAAGGTTCCACTCTGTGAGTTGAATACACACAACACAATGGATTTAATGAGAATTCTTCTGTCTAGCAGTAAATGAAAAAATCCCGCTTCCAACGAAGTCCTCAAAGGGGTCCAAGTAATCACTTGCAGACTTTACAGACAGAGTCTTTCCAAACAGCTCTATGAAAAGAAAGGTGGAACTCTGTGAGCTGAACGCACACATAACAAAGCAGTTTCTGAGAATGATTCTGTGTAGTTTTTACACGAAGATATTTCCATTTCAAAGATTAGCCTCAAATCGCTTGAAATCTCCACTTGCAAATTCCACAGAAAGAGTTTTTCAAAACTGCTCTGTGTAAAGGAAGGTTCAACTCTGTGACTTGAATACACACAACACAAAGAAGTGACTGAGAATTCTTCTGTCTAGCATTATATGAAGAAATCCCGTTTCCAACGAAGGCCTCAAAGAAGTCCAAATAAGCACCTGCAGACTTTACAAACAGAGTGTTTCCAAACTGCTCTATGACAAGAAAGGTTAAACTGCTGTGAGCTGAACGCACACATCACAAAGTAGTTGTTGAGAATGATTTTTGTCTAGTTTTAATACGAAGATATATCCTTTTCTATCACTGTCTTCGAAGCGTTTGAAATCTGCACTAGCAAATTCCACAAACAGAGTGTTTCAACTCTGCTCTCTCTCAAGAAAGGTTCAACTCTGTGAGTGGAATACACACAACACAAAGAAGTTACTGAGAATTCTTCTGTCTAGCGTTGTATGAAGAAATCCCGTTTCCAACGAAGGCCTCAAAGAGGTCCAAATATCCACTTGCAGACTTTACAAATAGAGTGTTTCCAAACTGCTCTATGAAAAGAAAGGTTAAACTCTGTGAGTTGAAGGCACACATCACAAACTAGTTTCTACGAATGACTTCTGTGTAGTTTTAATATGAAGATATTTCCATGTCTAAGATTGGCGTCAAATCGCTTGAAATCTCCACTTCCAAATTCCACAAAAAGTGTTTTTCAAAACTGCTCTGAATAAAGGAAGGTTCAACTCTGTGAGTTGAATACACACAACACAAAGGATTTACTGAGAATTCTTCTGTCTAGCAGTAAATGAGAAATCCCGCTTCCAACGAAGGCCTCAATGGGGTCTAACTAATCACTTGCAGACATTACAGACAGAGTCTTTCCAAACTGCTCTATGAAGAGAAAGGTGAAACTCTGTGAACTGAACGCACAGATGACAAAGCAGTTTCTGAGAATGATTCTGTGTAGTTTTTACACGAAGATATTTCCATTTCAAAGATTAGCCTCAAATCGCTTGAAATCTCCACTTGCAAACTCCACAGAAAGAATTTTTCAAAACTGCTCTGTCTAAAGGAAGGTTCAACTCTGTGACTTGAATACACACAACACAAAGAAGTGACTGAGAATTCTTCTGTCTAGCATTATATGAAGAAATCCCGTTTCCAACGAAGGCCTCAATGAAGTCCAAAAAAGCACTTGCAGGCTTTACAAACAGAGTGTTTCCAAACTGCTCTATGAAAAGAAAGGTTAAACTCTGTGAGTTGAACGCACACATCACAAAGTAGTTGTTGAGAATGATTCTGTGTAGTTTTTATACGAAGATATTTCCTTTTCTGCCATAGGCCTAGAATCGCTTGAAATCTGCAGTTGCAAATTCCAAAAACAGAGTGTTTCAACTCTGCTCTCTCTAAAGAAAGGTTCAACTCTGTGAGTTGAATACACACAACACAAAGAAGTTACTGAGAATTCTTCTGTCTAGCGTTATATGAAGAAATCCCGTTTCCAACGAAGGCCTCAAAGAGGTCCAAATATCCACTTGCAGACTTTACAAATAGAGTGTTTCCAAACTGCTCTATGAAAAGAAAGGTTAAACTCTGTGAGTTGAAGGCACACATCACAAACTAGTTTCTGCGAATGACTCTGTGTACTTTTAATACGAAGATGTTTCCATGTCTAAGATTGGCGTGAATTCGCTTGAAATCTCCACTTGCAAATTCCACAAAAAGAGTGTTTCAAAAGTGCTCTGAACAAAGGAAGGTTCCACTCTGTGAGTTGAATACACACAACACAAAGGATTTACTGAGAATTCTTCTGTCTAGCAGTAAATGAGAAATCCCGCTTCCAACGAAGGCCTCAAAGGGGTCTAACTAATCACTTGCAGACTTTACAGACAGAGTCTTTCCAAACTGCTCTATGAAGAGAAAGGTGAAACTCTGTGAACTGAACGCACAGATAACAAAGCAGTTTCTGAGAATGATTCTGTGTAGTTTTTACACGAAGATATTTCCATTTCAAAGATTAGCCTCAAATCGCTTAAAATCTCCAATTGCAAAT